>NC_000002.12:16600664-16752179 GCF_000001405.40 Homo sapiens
AGTAACAGAGTAATTATAGTTATTACTACTATAATTTATGAGAGAAACTGGAACATCAGCATTTTATTGAGTGCCCACTGTGTGTGTGGCACTATACTTGAAGCTTTCACACACTTTATCTCATTCAAACCTTACAGCAAACATCAGGTAGCTATAATTATCATCACATTGATTGGGGGGATAAAAAGGAGGTTCGAATGGCTAAACAATTTTTCAAATACTACAAGAAAATAAAAGATAGAGTCACATTTGACATTGAAACTCTGTGAATCTGAAGACTATGCTCTTTTCTGCACAGTAGAAGTCCTGGGGCTCCACATCCCTAGGAGGCCCCTGCCTGGGGACTTCAGAGAGTGTGGTCAGCTGAAGGTATGTGTAGGGTGCTGTATTGTTGAATGAACACGCTCATTTTTTCTGGGGAGACAGCCCATAGCTTCCATTAGATTCCAAAGGGGTTGGCTCTACACTAGTGCTACTCAATAGCATGTACAGGAAGGGAGGTGTTTCTTTAGGAAATGAAGGAAAAGAGAAAATTATGTGGGGTGAAGTCTTCTGGAAGAGTTTGCTCGATAGAAGAAGCAAGCTGCCACCCAACGTGAAGAATACTGGGAATCCGGGTTGGCTGAGAGAAGCCCTCCAGCTGAGGGGGTTGGGGGGGATTCTGAGTGTGAAGGGAACACAGAATACACATTGGGTGACCCCTCAATCCTCCAAAAACAGAGAATTTCTTCCTCAAGATTCATTTACTGTGCTAGTATTTTGAAATAGGTTATTCAATTTTTTTCCCCCAAATAGTCTAGAATATGGGTGTTTCTCTAGTCATTTTAGGAGTGGTAGCAATGCCTCTAAAGCCTGCCTGCACGCCCTTGCCAAGGGAGGCACTCATCTTTAAGGGGTGACAATTTTGGATGTACTCATGGTATTTTCTATGACCGCTTTCTTGGCTCTCAGTTCAAAACCACTTCTATGAGAGTTGGCTTTAAGGCTATTCAGTGGAAAACCATGACTCTCTTTAAGAAATAATTCTCTAGTCACATTTCCAGTTTCAAAAAAAAAAAAAAAGAGAGAATTCATATATGCAGACACTGTTTTTCACTATTTGCAACTCTATTTTTGTTTAGAAGAAAAATAAGTTGATAGCATTAGCTGCACTCCCAGAGTATAAAACCAAATGAAATCAAGCAGGGTTTATTTTAAAAAGAAGTGACTGTGGTTTATGGAGAAATTCATTTGTTTTCTATAAATAAGACATATCAAAGGAAGCAGGCCCAGGGAACAGGGCAGTGTGAATGATGACCTCTGCCTGTGTATACCAAAATTTCAATGCTCAACCTTCATGAGTAGATCACAAGCTCCTAGGAGATTTCTTTCTTTGGTTATGACTATTTGAAAGGAGAATTCCTAAGCCAATGCTACTTTTTATCAATAATGAACAGAAGGTGAGAAAACAAATCAATACAACAGCAGCCCTACCAGGGTTTATTTTCTAACATTTTTTTAAAATCTAAGACAATAATACTCATCTCTAACAGATAAGAAGACCTCTATCAGAAGGGATAGATTTTCTTATCATTTTGAATGACCCAATACCTTCCAGAATCTATAATCTTTAGCCTCTCTGGTGCAAAGACTTGAAGAAATCGAAGACTCAGATTGCCTATAACAACATTTTGGGAATAAGGAAGTCCTGACTCATCCAATTTTTTTTTTGGCAACATAGCATTTAAACTACAGACTGACCATGAATACACCAATAACATATATTTATATAATTTCACATCTTTGTCAAAGATGTGTCTGATTGCATTTATCTTCAGTATGAACATATGTCAAAGGGAGAAAAGTTATCATTGGACCCATTTTACGGGTATAAGAACTCCATGACCAGGTATAGTAAGTGTCCTTCCCAAGGTCCTCCAGATGGGTCCTGGACTTCATAATATACAGGCCCCCTACATCCCCAAATTTAATCTGAATACACTCCATATTAGAACTGGGGTCATCTTTTTAAAGCTCTCATTTTACAAAAAAAGAATGGGTCCAAGAATCCACAGCACATTAGGGTCAAAGAAGGGACTAGAAGAGAGATGTTGTGGCTCTCAATCTCATGCTCTCTCCATTAATACAAAGAGTAAATGGGGCATCAAGTTCATTTTCTAAGACATGATGAACTCAGAATGCTCTTTGCTCCCTAATAAGGACACCCTCGCTGGTGGTCCAGAATAATTTTTTTTTTTGCACACTTTCCTTCCTTCTCAATTTGATTTTCCTGATTCATACCCTTGGCAGAGCTTGCCAGTATCCTGCAAATAGTCTCCAACTTGATCTTCCTGACACCAGTCTTGTCTCCCTTCTACTCATTTCCATGCTGCCGGCAGAGCCATTTTCCTAATCACAAATCTGAGATACTACTTCCTTGCTTAACATGCTTCTGTGGCTCCCCAGTGCCTGTCGGACAGAATGCATTCAAATGAATGCACTGGGCACAGAACGCCTGGACCCCGCCCCCTCCACTCCAGCCTTGCCCTGCACATCCCATCCCTAGAGTGGCTCTGCTCTTGACTGCCTCAGGGCCCTTGCACATGCTGCTCTGTCTGCTTAACATTCTTAATGATCTGCAGGCCAGAGTGAGGAGGGTGCTTTATGTATTGCCATATTTTAATTTTTACAACAACCATATGAAATAGTTACTGCTATTATCCCAGTTTCAGAGATAAATAATCTTAAAGACTTAGAAACTTACTGCATCTCACCAGTGACAGATCAGGGTCACTGGAATCCCCTTCTATCTGACATCTAAGCACCAGCTCTTGGCAATTGCTTCCCCCACACTTCCTTTGAAGTAGGAGGGTGAAGATCAGGACCCTTGGAAGGACCCCCTGAGCCCTCCCTCCCCCTCTATTCTACACCAGTAAAAACAAAAGCCACTCTTCTGAGTGAGCTCCTCGTCTCTGCTCACCTAACATGTCTTGTGGGCCATGCAACAGTGCCTATCGCAGCAAACCATAATTACATACGCTTTCTCCTGTATCTCCCTGTCTTCTAGGGCAGGGCTGCTTTTACACCACCTTGTATTCCCAGCACTTAAGGACAGGACTAGCATGTAGTAAGCACTGAAAAATAAATCCTTAGGATTGTTCTGACTAGTGGTTCCCAAGCCCTCCAAGGCAAAATGAGAAAAACAAAGCCTACGTCATGAGCCTTTCAGAAAGTTATTCAAACACTTCTATGTTACACGGTTTTTATTTATGTTGGAAAATGATGTTGTAATTATATCCTAAATATGCCAGGTTTATTTGGAAATGTTACTGGTTTTTGAAATCCTGAAGTCTAGGAACACGCACCTGGGCTATGCCTTGTGTGGGGCTGGGAGCAGAGCTACAAGCGTGACCTGGCCTCTCACGTCGTCAGGCCAGCGCCTTCATCTGCACCTGCTACCTCGCTTTGTTTTATCGTTAAGTCTGACCTTCTAGCTACTATGGGGCCCCAAGATTTCCCCAGCAGGGTAGAAGAAAACAGAGTAGAGGAAAACAGTCCAGTTTTGGCTTTAGGAATGTTTCTGGAGACTGGATGTGATTTTAGGAGGGCAATTAAGACAATCTACCTTTCAAGCTTATCAGCAAGGTTCAGAGTTGGAGAAATCCTGATGGGCAGCCAGGGCGGCCACTGTTGTCAGTGACATCAAAGGCTTGCAGATGTCCCACAGTGCTCTGCAAAGCCAGCAGCACTTCTGGCTCCTCCCAGCCATCGTCTGGCATCCAGTGGGTGTCCCAGGAGGAAGGGGCCCAGCCCTGACATGTCTAGTATTCAGATGACTCAGACACGCTTTCTCCTGGTCACCACAGAACCCCGTTTACAACATGTACACCATCTGACTGTTTTGAATTACAAGCAAAACAAACTACCCACTTCCATTTAATCATCAGCTTACAATATATCAATAGGTGGTGTTAAAAAATACTTCTCATCTAAAGGTACATTTCTTAAATGATATAAGCAGCTGTTTTTCTGGGGAAAAATATGCACCACTGGAATGAAGTAGCTCAGTTGATACATTCTGGGAGCCTGTATTTGCTAAGCCAGGTTAGCCATTTTAGATGGCGGGGCTGGGCTTGCACATCCCTGCTCCATCTGCCATTTTTTGCAATGAAGTCATGAGGTTTTCTGTTCCATTGTCAAATGTATTGCCAAGAATCCAACAGACGATTTCATTCCGAGATGAAGGAAGAAAACTGAAGTGGAGTGAGTCTATTAAGCACTTTCATCTGACAATAAAAATGAGTTAATGGCTAAAGTGTGTTTTCAAAACGTTTTAACACTACAAGTAATGGCACTCAAATGAGAAAATGCCTTGAATATTCTCATCGATCATTAATACCATGGTGTCCCTCAAAAGGGCTTGGCATTCCCCATGGAATACAAGCTGCTAGAGTCCAGTTGTAAGGCAATTCACGGGAATTCTAAAAAAAAAAAACCACGAAACCATTATGGAATTGAACAATTAAGTGCAGGTTTAAAATAGTTCTTTCAATATCTGAGTTCAGTTTTCTAAAATAGACTATTACCTCATCATAGCTAATTTTTCCATAAACATCAATAGTACAGCAGCAAAAAGTACCCAAGAAATGAGGGCAAAATTAGATTCTTTTTTAGGGAATGAAAGTCAATGTGTCCCCCACTTTCAAATGCTAGTGACATGGAAGCAATCAAACTGGGCTCAGCTCCGGCCCAGGCCACCGCTGGGAAGTCACTAGTGAATCTGTCCCCTTTCTCTTGGGAAATCAAGAACATGCTTATGAGGAAACTGCTTGAGACACCTGCTTCTTACCTAGGCAGGTGGACACTCTCAGCCTACCCAGGCCCGTTCTGCCTAATTTCAAATGGAAAGGTACCCCATGCAGGGCAAGGGGCCCCAGAGACCCAAGCACTCATCTTGGAGACACCATTCACTTAGTGTCATGTTGGGCAAGTTGCTCTTCCTCTCTTGGTTGGTTTCAACTCCAGTCTAGAAAGTAAAAGGGAACACCTAGAAGTTATCTCAAATTTGGGCTGTTCTGATAGTGAATTCGCTTAAACAGGCTGTCAGTTTTTTGGATTACAAACCTCCTTTCTTCAGAATTCATTCTCAAGTATTTAAATAAACAACAGCCAAGACCCTCTAACCCTCTGAGAGCAGAGCTGTAGGTGAAGGCTTGTCATGGGCACCGCTGAGCAACTTCTCCTTGCTGAGATACTTGGGACCCATCTCCTTCCTCATCTCTCACCTCTCTGGAAGTTCCTCCTCAAGTTTCTACTTTGTCCATCTGGCCTTTAAGTCTTGGTCTCCATGTTCTTTCTTCAGCCTTTTCTCATTCTCCCTGGTGTGACCCTTCTGACTCCAATTTCCACCCATAGGCAGATGACTCTCAACCTCTGGCTCTATATTAGACTTCTGTCCCCAGCTCCAGGCCCATCAATCCAAGTGAATGTCCCACAAGCATAGCCATTCGGGGAAGGCCATAGAAACCTCACTTTCCACTCTTTCCAAAATCTTCTCCTCTTCCCTCACCCAACAAAAAGCATTATTATCCTCCCAGTGTCATAACCAGAGCCCTGGGCACCACCTGAGATTTCTCTACCTGCTGTACCCCTTGATCCACTCTCCCACCAAACTCTCTCCATGTCTCCCTTAGATCCATTCCTCTTCCCGATGCCCTTCTCTTGGGTGTCCTCCTCCTTTCTCTCTCTCCAGTCTCTCTCTCTCCTCCTCCCACTCTTATATTGGATACTTGAGACCCCTGGGATCATTCACCAGTCTCTGAACATGTTACAGGGAATGTCACATATACAACTAATTCTGGGGAATTAAATCTCTTCCATTCCTGTTGTCTTACAATATAACTAAAAAAAAAAAAAAACAAAATGAAAAAGAGGCCTTCTCCTTTTCCCTGCCCAGCTTTCATTCCACAGGCAACTGTGTCACACATTTGTTCTTGAAGTTTATCTGCCTCCATAGTTCTCTGGCAGGTGGTAAAATACAACCTATCAGGTCAAGGGACCAGGAGGCGAGTCCTGATGAAAATGGTCCTTCTGGGAAGCAAAAGGCCCTGCAGAATTCGATGGCCCCAGGACCTTGGGATGACTCGACATCTAAGAAGGTTTTCAGATGTTGAGTTTTCTTAAACTGGAGCTCATCTGGGTACCAAAGGAGGCTTTGGATGTGACATGTCAAAGCAAAGGAGCAAAGGAAATTTGCTCCCAGGTCAAATTTATTTTGGGAAGTGCAGGGGGATATAAAAAATTATGTTGGTACCGAAACAAAAAAAAATCCAATAAAAGCCATCACATACAAAAAACCTGAAGAATATGAGGCCAAGAGAGATTAGCATGCTCCGTGAAATCTCAAGCATCAAGAATGTCCAAAGTGTTGAAACTTCACTTGAAATCTCAGAGACAGGTGCGGCTCTGCCTTTGTTTCCAGCTTCTGAAAGGAGCAATTGCCCTTGTTTCAACGTACTCATCATTGCAAACAAAACTAACATGTTAAAATAAAAGCCCTGGCTTGGTACCCGAGCAAGCTGTGCAGACGGTCAACCTAAGGCTGGGACAGGAAAGGTGGATGAGGTGAGAGTCTGCAGAGTGGTGGGAGGTGGGCCTGTCAGGCAGGGAGGGGCGGGTGGGGGGTGCTACTTCCTGAGACAGAATCCAGGGAGCAAATAGAATACAGAGTTAGCTGAGTCGACGAAGTTAGCCATGGTTAGCATAAACGCCTGCTAAGCTGGCTGTCAAATAAAGCTGGGTAAATTTTTTACTTGGTATGCAAGGCTATAAGCCTGGCTTAGAGCTCTCTTTCAAGATTCCGCCCCTCTGCTGAAGCTACTCTGATCACTCTGTACATAAGCCACACCAGAATATGACAGTGGAAGGGCTCCTGCCTCCTTGCTTCTGCCTTTTTTCTTTTTTTTAGATGGAGTCTGCTCTGTCATCTAGGCTGGAGTGCAATGGCACTATCTTGGCTCACTGCAACCTCTGCCTCCCAGGTTCCCGGGTTCAAGCGATTCTCCTGCCTTAGCCTCCCAAGCAGGTGGGATTACAGGTGTGTGCCACCACACCTGGCTAATTTTCGTATTTTTAGTAGAGACAGGGTTTCACCATCTTGGTCAGGCTGGTCTTGCACTCTTGGCCTCAAGTAATCCACCTGCCTAGGCCTCCCAAAGTGCTGGGATTACAGGTGTGAGCCAGAGTGCCCGGTCCTTGCCTCTGTTTTCTTGCTCATACTGTTCCTTTTGCCTTGAACGCCTAAAGACGGCCTATCGTTTCTCCCAGTAACCTCCTCCCCAAACCCCAGGCATAAGTAAGCACCTTTGCTGTTGTGGATTCTTGCAGGGGCTATCTCTGACTGGCTGTCAGTGTTTTAGCCATTTCAACCACTCCTCCTCACTCCTCCCCGCCCAACCACCAAGCAGGGTCCCACACATCGCATTATTCATTTATGGCCACTGAGATGGATGGGAAGGACTGGATAAGTAGTCACTACCCAGCAACAACAACAAAGACATCACCCACACAGACTGAGCAGAGAAAACAGTCATTGGTGAGAGAAACGGGTCTGAGAAAAATAAGCATTTCCCCAAATATAAACACTTTTGGGTGATTAGCCCTTTTGTTTTAGGACCAGAGACTACTTTGAAAATCTAATGAAAACTGGCTTTCTCAGAAAAATGCACACATGCAGACTGATACACTTTCAGGAGGTAAAATAAATACACGGAAGCCCAGAAACGAGGGAATCCCTCATCTATTTTAAGATCGCAAATTTCAGTTTATAGATGGCCAAGTGGAATGAGGACGGCGTTTTGTAGTGTGGACCACGGACTAAGCTACTCTAAAAAGGAAAGGGAATCATTTCATGGAAACAGCATGAGCTTTGGAGACGTTGGGAGAGTCATTGGACTCTTTTGAATCTGAGTTTCCCTTGTTAGTAAAATGCAAATCAAAATATTCCCTTTTTAGTATTGTTACTAAGTAAGTAAGATAATGCAGGTAGAAGTTCTTAGTGTAGCATCTGGCATGCAGTAGGTCCTAACAAATAAGTATCTGCGCCCCCTGCCTTGCATTTCAAAAATTGCAACCACAGCGCAAACAAGTCATTGCCCTTTTAGCAATAAATCCTGCACTGTTGCTTTGGAGCTGGAGAAGAAAGCCGACTCAGACCACCACGTCAGTGAAGAGGTGAAGCTGGGTCCTGAACTGCTGCTGCGATGGGATCATTCACATGGCTATTAATCATACAAGAGCCCATTTATGACAAACGCAGGTCACTCCCTTTGCATGACAAGGCACATGGGTCCACAGAGCCCCATTATCCAAAAAAAAACACAGAGCATTGTGGGCGATGCAGGCGAAGGCGAGTGCACACACACAAGCGGACATTGTAAGGCTGTTTGCACAACCCCGCCGTGCTCCTCGCGGATTTCCTGCCAAGGAGACATTTAGATCTCACAGAGGCGGCTGCAGACATTTGCTCATTCAACATGGCTTCAGGCAGTGGCTGCGGAAACCCGGTGCATGGTACCCTCTGCTGGTCATCTCTGGAACTGCGGGCCAGGGATACCGGGGATAAAGCACACAAGGGGGACCCCTGGGGCCCCAGGCTCTTCTCTCCCTCCCTTGTCTAAAGAGTACAGTACAATAGGCATGAGCTTTTTTGTCTGAAAAGTCTGACATTAAATATCAACATCTCAATTGTAACATGGATTAGCCAGAAGACCCTGGGCATGTCATCTCACCCCTCCTCAGACCTCAGCTTCTAGCTGGAGACCACATGTTTCTACCACGGGACCCTTGCACTTGCTAGTCCTTCTGCCTGGAATGTTTTTCCACAATCTGCATAGATTTTCTTTGTATATTCATTCGGGATTTATTTTTCAGTGGAGTTCAACCTAACAGTTTTGTCCAAAATACTATTTTACTCCCACTCCCCAGTAACTCTGCTTTTCTTTTAAGTATATATCATCATTTATTTATGTGCCCTCAACTCCTAGAATAGGGCCTGACACATAGAAGGAATGCCATACATATATGTGGAATAAATAAGGACATCTTCCATGACTCCCCTGTCACTTCTCCTCCTAAAACAAAACGTATGCTTCTTCCTCCATATTACAGGGGAAAAGAGGTTCTCAGATCAACCTGATATTTTATTCACACACTCTTACTGGTCAGAGAATCTACTACTGTGTAGTATCCAGAACGGTTTCCAGGCCTCTGAGTGTGGTCTGCCCAGAAGGACTGCATCTCGCTTCCATCTGGACACTAAACCTCTACTGAGGTAACCCAAGATGGTACTCAGGGATTTTGGCAGACAGAGCATATTGCCAATATGTACTGATTTACAGCCAACAAAAAATGCAATTGAGTACTTACTGCTTACTTAGTAAGATGAATAATAATAATAACTTCCACAGACTGTGCATATATTCTGTGCTAGGCATTGTGCTAAATACATATAGTGTCATCTTTAATGCCAAAAGCAAACTCAAGATTCTGTGCTACTACCATCTCCCTTTTAGAAACGAGAACACTGAAGCAAGTGAGTAACTTGCCTAGGGTAACTCAGTTAATCACCAGCAGAACTGGAATTTAAACACAGCCCATCATACCAGAAAACTCACAGTCTAAGCCACTATGTTATTTTGTCGAATACTCCTGCACTATTATTAGATGTTTTTGGGAAACAGAAAATGGCTTAAGACATGGCCTGTGGCCTCTGGTCAGGGCAAGAGGGCTGTGGAAACTCATAGCAAATTGTGTCTCATTTCTAATTAACTTATTAGCACATGGTTTGGCATTAGGTTGCCTGAATACATTTTTGTGAATTGTTGACATTCTCATTGTATAAAATCCTAGAATGCTGGAACAGGGAGAAGTGTCCCTGATCCAGCCCAGTGGCCCAGTCCTGTTCAGGTACAGATGATAAAGTTGAGACTCAAAAATCCCAAGGCTTCGGCAGCCTATGTGTACTGCCCCATGTAGTTGGAACACATGATAAACTTCTGTAAAGTTCCTAGAAATTACAAGCATAACCAAAATTTCTGTAGAGTTGGCAAAACTGTATAGGCTCTGCTTAGTTACCTAACTACCCACATTTCACTTCCCATTTTATTCAATTCTGCTGATCCTCCCTCTATCCATCACCCCTCATCATCCTTGGCACTTGCCTCAAAAATAGGATTGACTTCTTTTAGTCCCAACATATATATATATATATATATATATATATATATATATATATCCTGTATATCTTGCATATATTTCTATCAAAAATGTAATATTTACACCTATCTGTTGAACTTCTTGAGGACAGGTGTTAATCATCAATCCATCCCCTGTATCTAGCACAGTTCTTAATACAGCATTGAAATCTGGTGACTAGGCCGGGGGCCGTGGCTCACGCCTGTAATCCCAGCACTTTGGGAGGCTGAGGCGGGCAGATCACAAGGTTAAGAGATCAAGACCATCCTTCACAACATGGTGAAACCCTGTCTCTACTAAAAATACAAAAAAAAAAAAATAGCTGGGTGTGGTGGCATGTGCCTGTAGTCCCAGCTACTTGGGAGGCTGAGGCAGGAGAATTGCCTGAACCCAGGAGGTGGAGGTTGCAGTGAGCCGAGATTGCACCACTGCACTCCAGCCTGGTGACAGAGAGAGACGCCATCTCAAAAAATAAATAAATAAATCTGGTAACCAGTCAAAGAAATAAATACATGAGCATTGCTCTTTTTAGAGAATAGGGCTAAATAAAACATGGCTCTTGCAGTAAGGACCAGTAAGGATGAGAATCTGCATTCAAAGACAACTATAATGGGGAGGAAGACTCTAGTGAGGACTGTGATCTGGGTAAAGGCAAAGTGTTTGGGGAAAGGAGTCTAAAAGAGGAGGTGCCTCATCTGGACTAGAATAGTCTGGGAGGGTTTCCTGCAGAAAGGGGCTGTAGCTCGAGGTGGAGGAGAGGGAGAAACTCCCAGTGAACATCCCACTGCCAAGACGCCTGTGAGGTGTGAAGAAAGGAGCCCAACGTCCTTCACTTTGGGATCTGCTGAGATCACACGTACTGGGCGGAGGGGCGGAGGTGGGGGGGTGGTGGTGGAGGTTGGACATGAGGGGTCTCTGGAGTGGCAGCTGTCACAGGGTTGGCTTTAAGATCTGTGAAAGCCAAGCCATTGCCAGCTCCCAGTCTTCTGGTTATGTTGAAGTAGTGGGACCAGATTTCCTGGGTGGCTCTTAAGCCTGCTCTGAAAGTAGTTTCCTGCCAGGCCACGATGCCTGTCCCAGTCCTGCAGGGGGGACTCCTTGCCCTCTGCACCTTGTGCCACAGCCCCCTGTGTCCTCTCTCCCACCACATTTCCACATTCCTGGTCACTCCTGCTTACCTGCCTGTCTCTCCTCCTAGGAGGTGAAGACCCCCTGGATGGGAACTGGAACTTACTTGTGATTGAATCCACAGCAAGCCACCCAGGGAATGTGTGTGGCTGAATGCATGAAAGAATGAGTGAAGAATGATAGTGTGAAGGCCACAATCAGAATCCAAGTTCTTCCAGCCTGAGGTCCTTCCAGGCAACTACTTAGAAAGAAAGAGGGAAGGAAAGGAGGGCATGTGGATGGGAGGGGGGAAAAGGGTGAGAGGATAGGAAGAAGGAAGGAAGGAAGGAAATAAGGAAGAAAGAGAAAAGGAGGAAAAAAGAGGGTGGGATGAAGGGAGGGGAGGAATAAAAATGGTTCCACCATGGTGACACTCATTTTAATAAAGATATAGCTAAAGATCTCATGCTATGCTTGAAAGTTAAAAGAAAGATAATTTGAGTCAACAAGAAAAGTGAAATATGTCCTCAATGATGCACAAATTAACTTCTAAAAAAGACAGCAGGATTTGAGAAGAGCCTGCCACCCACTGCTAGGATGTGATGGCCAGAGACTTACTTTCATGATGACAAGCCTGCAGAACCATCTCTGCTCTGGCCTCTGAAGCAGCCAATCAGCTGCAGGAGGCTGAGCTGCGTGAGAAGTCCAACTTCAAGGATAGATGCTGCAAAATAGCAATGTCTCCCCACCAAGCGGAGGTGGATGCTCATTTTATGGAACTTCTTGATATGGTCTGACTCTGTCCCCACCCAAAATCTCATCTGGAATTGTAGGTCCCATAATCCCGACATGTCGTGGGAGGGACCTGGTGGGAGGTAATTGAATCATGGTGGCACTTCCCCCCCATACTGTTCTCATGGTAGTGAATGTGTCTCATGAGATCTGATGGTTTTATAAATGGGAGTTCCCCCGCACAAGCTTTCTTGCCTGCTACCGTGTAAGATGTGACTTTGCTCCTCATTCGTCTTCCTCCTTGACTGTGAGGCCTCCACAGCCATGTGGAACTGTGAGTCAATTAAACCTCTTTCCTTTGTAAATTACCCAGTCTTGGGTATGTCTTTCTAGCAGCGTGAGAATGAACTAGTACACTCCTTTAAGTCAAAATTCCAGCTGAAGGAATTTCGAAGAATGCTGAAGGCTGGGAGACTTCCATGCATTTTCAGGAGTGCATTTTCAGGTATTTACTGCCTCCACCTCTGGGCAGGAGAGCCAGCGGGTAGTGCTGTCCCAGGGGAGGACATGATTCTCTTCAGTCCCTTTTCATAATGCATACCTGAGCAGACACAGAGGACCCTGACACTGAAATCCCAAGGACACTCATTCCCCTGCTTTCAAAAGGCCTTCATCTAAATCAAATTCTCATGATCCGATAACTACACTAACAGCAGCCATTCGCTGAGTGTCAGCCCTGCACTCGATGCTATGCTAAGCGCTACATGCAAATGCCCTCATTTAATTCTCACAATTACCCTCCAGTAGGTTAGTTTGAAGAGTTACTATATTGTATATTTCTGCTAAATTGGAGAGCTTTTCTCTGGGCAAATGCAAGAGCTTGCAGTTAAGTACCTTATCCACTAAGGGGCATTATCATCTCACATTAAAAATACCAGACCTGGTCAGGTAGGTACCGAACACAAATGCAGAAATTTGTGAAAAAAGGACAAAGCAGAAGTATCAAGTTCAACATCCTGAATATTTTCTAAACGTGATTCCACTCATTTGTAAAAAGTGTTTAAACTCACAGTTGTAGTAGCCAACGCTTACTTAATGTAGTAACTCAATTGCTGCTTCAAGGTCATTTCAAAAGCATCTGTCTTGACCACTTTGCCAGAAAACGGGGCTATGACATTTGAGAAGGAAACGTGAATAGACTTAGCCATTTGGCTTAGTAATTATCCTCTCCAGCCCCTTCAACTAGTTTCTTAAGTCACGTTTTCCACTGAGGAAAACATCTGTGTTGTGGCTGAATCAACTTCACTCAAGTTAAGGGTAAAAAGAAAGGTTGGAATCCTACCACAAGCTTATCAGAATGAGTTTCTATAACTCATTTAAACAAAACCCCCACTTAAAATTATATTTTGAGTCAGAAAATACTCTGGAAATGGAAATGCACATAGTTGAAGACCCTCAATTCATGATCTGTACCCCCGAGCCTGCTTTTATGGACAGATGGGAGATGGACAAAGGTACAAGTTGCTCCCATGGAGGATGTCCCTGCAGGAAATCTGCAATCCACAAGAGAAGGCAGCAAAGTCCTCATGGAACTTCCCTGTTTAGATTGATAAGCCAAGACCACAATTAAACCAAACAAACAAACGCACAAAGTTTATCTCTGAATTTCTGTGTAAGCCCAGCCTGGCTCCTGATGACTCAGCGATGCTCTATCCTGATTTAAACTTTCCCCTGTCGTCGGGGTTCCCAGGCTGCTGTCTGTGGCCACACAGTCCTCTACATTCGAACGCTTTGCCTTTCACCCTCTGGAGAGCCTGCAAGCCTCCCAGACAGATCAAGCACTGTTTGGGCTATTTCTTCATTCCACTTGAAGACAGCAAATTGTGATTCCAACATGAGGTCTGAGTTGCTCCCCAGCTCATATCATCTGACAACCCAGCTCAGCTACACAAAATAATCTCAGGTCCTCTGGTACTCAGTGGAAGATGGAAAATACACTGAGACGGAGCGTAGAGACACCCGGTCACCTGCCACGTAGCAGCTGTATGGCCTTGGCAAGGTGCCACATCCCTCTCCACAGCTGCCTTTTCTTGAATGCCTACTGGATGCCAAGCTCTTTGCTGGCTCTTACTCATCTTCAAAATCTCTCTGCAGAGTAGTGCCTTTAGATAAGGAAACTGCGGCACAGCAAGATTCTGGAACTCATGAAGACCATTCCCTTCTGTGTGACTCCATTAGATGGACTGGATCAGGCTCCAAACAGGAGCCAGTAGTTCTTGTCCATAAAGGAGCTCTGGCAATGAATTCTGCATAAATTGCTTCTAACCATGAAATACAAAATGGCTTATTGTTTTTTCTTTGAGTTTTCTAGGCTCTTACTGCTCTGAGCATGGTCTGGAGACTGGCACCCACCTGGGAGCTTATTACAAATGCAGTCTCTCAAGCCCCACCTCAGAACTGCTGAACGCAAGTCTATGTTTTAATCGAATCCTCAGTGTCCTCAAGTTTGAGAACCACTGCACTTGACTAAAGATCTGAAGTCCCAGTGTCATATCCCCTTCTCTTCTGCCTCCCCCAAGTAACCAGTGGTCGTTTTAGGATTGGTCCCGAAATCCGGAGTTCCTCTCCTACTGGTTTAGTATGCATTTGGTTTTACAAGTGGGCCCCTTGATTAGTTCCACTTGCACAAATGAAAGTTTACATTGTAACCAGGGATAGGACCCACTGAGCCCCCACTGCAGGCTGGGCTTTGTACTAAGTGCTTCACATACAATATCTCAGTCCTTGAGCTGGACTAGATGGCTATGAAGTCTTCACTCTTTCTACAACCAACACTGCCTCCACTCTCCCAGCCTGTTTCTTCACCTGCAAATGAGATCACACAGAGGTAGACCCAATGATCCCTCAGATCCCTCCAAAAATAAGATTTATGAAATTTCCAAGGTTCAACTCTCCACAAAAATATCTGTTATAATAGAAAATCTAGATCGCTAAATGCAATGCAAAAGCAGAGAACAGTCAACCTACCTATTGCAGCTATTACTGAACGTTACTGTAACATTCGGTGGCTCAGTGACGAGGCAGCTGGCCTTTCTGAACCGATACCAGCAGCTCTACCACTGGGATATCCCTGGTGCAAACTGGGAGGTGCAGACAGGACACAGGGCAGGCGCCCTCCACAGGCCCAGGGTTGGCATGGCGACGCCTGGGACCATCTTCACTCCATTCTTCTCTTCTGTTTCGCTCGATTATCGCTGTGTGAGATCCTGCCCCAGAAGGACAGAGCAATCCTGAGGGTGAGGCCTGATGTCGGGGGAGAACAAGCCAGTCTTTGTCAGGTCCCTCAAGGGGACGAGGCCAGCCTGCCTCAGGCTGCACACAGAAGAGGCCTGTGCTCACTTGGCCGTAGAGTGGTGGCCTGCTCTGTCCTTCACGGTGGGAACCCGCCACTTGAACATTCTACATCTCCCTCCTCCTGACTCCAGGGCTGGGCAAAGTGGAGGGATCTGCTCCTGGGGCCTGCAGGCATTTGCACTGAAAAGGCTTCAAGTAGAACTTACTGCTCACACTAGCACCAAAAACTCTTTGTTGAACAATTCCTCTCTCCCCTTGGCTGGTTTCCCACTATCCCATTCACAATGACATCCTTCCCTACGTCACCCTTTGTCAACTCTCCAGCCTTCCCTGGCTCCCCCGGGCTCCTGCTTCCACACTGACTCCAGGCCTCTCACTCCCTCTGAGAGGACTCCTCGCTCAGAGGACCTTCCTGCCTCTGGAATCCTAAGACCTTTCCTTGGTTGTCTGAAGGGCACAGATGGTGTCACACACTAGGGATGTCTGCCGGGTGTTCATCCTGATATCCGTCAGGATGCTGGCCTCGGCTTTGCAACTCAATCATCCAGGAGATGCTTCATAAATGGTCAGCAAGTGTTTGAACCTACGTTGTATGGCAGACACTTGCTTCTAATAGAAAATTCAACCGAGGCTTTAAGTCAAAATAAAAATTGCTAACAATCACAGAGTCCTTACAGTGCCCCAGGCACTTTTCCAAATGCTTGCCTGTATTAACTCAGGTAGTGATCCCAGAACCCTTACAAGGTTGGTGCTATTAGTCTTCTCATTTTAGAGATGAGGAAACTGTCCTATGAAGAGGTTTGAAAACTTGCCCAAGAGCATCTGGCTCCAGAGCCTGGGCTCTTAACTGCAGCACTACAAAGGATTATATCAAGACCACAATTAAAGCAAATCTTACCTGAAGCCCACTCACATGTACAGTATTTGTTTTATGGGGGTCCTGAAACTAGCTACATGTGCCTCTGCAAATGTCATCAAGTTTCTAGGCTCCTTGTATTACACATTACAGCAACTGAAGACAGTTGATAGATGGCTGTTCCCCTTCTTCCTTGATTTGCAGCATAGTCAAGCCTTCGGGTCTGGAGACAGGAAAGAGCTGAGGTAAGAGAAATGAGGCCCTAAGAGGAGCACAGATGACCAAGTGGGGTCCTTAGAGGAAACACTGGCCAAGTTGGTTTCAGCAGTCACGATTCTTCATAACTCCTCTGCCAGTGTGCACCTGGCCCCAACCCCCGGACTCTGCCTACTACCGGGTCAGTGCAGTCTCCATCCTGGGGCCAGTGTGCTGCCAGCTTACAGCTCCAAACAGAGAAAGGTAGGCTTGCCATCAGGCCTAGGCCAAAACCCCCTGCCAAGCCGGTTCTCCTAGATTCCAACCCAAAGCAGGAACAAAGACAGGGTTGGAAGAAGGAGAGAGAACTGAAACCAAGGAACTGAACATTGTAGCTGTGCCAGAGCTCTCAGCACAGGGCTGGTAGCTGCCTCATTAAGGCCTGCAGCCAGGAGGGTAGGGTACACACTGAGCCCCTTTCACTCTGTGAGCCAGATCAGCTGTTGTCTGTTGAGGGCTGACAGAGGCCTTGCCTGCTACGAAGAGGTGAGAGGTAATTTATCTCCCTCCAGCGGGGCTTCCTGTTGGTGGTGATTTAAGTGCAAACTCCACACCAGGGTCCTGCCAGGCCATGTGGGATTCAACAGCCCTCAAGGACTCTTTTGGGAGTTGGGTATCTTAAAGACAAGTTCAGAGATGGAAGAAGCTGCATGATCAAGCCCAATTCCCTCATAGTTACGATGAAGGGAGGAGGGCTGACCAAGGTTAACTGGTGACTCAGTGGCAGTTTGGATTAGAATCCAAGTTAACCCCAGATATCATGGTCACTTTCTGGTTTTCTCCCTCTCTCCCTCTTTATTTATTTTTAAATCTGCATCCTTGTTGTACCAAGAAAGTGCCACAGAGGGGCAGCACTGTGGGGTTTTGAAGGAGAAAGGAACTCTTTCCAGCTGGGCTATCAAGTCAGGCTTCCTTGGCGAGGTAGTCTTTGGTGTGGATTCTGAGGACAAGGAGGACTACAGAGCCCAGGCCAGGATGAGAGTGTGCTCGAAACTGCCTCAGTGCAGGAGCAGGGGCAAGAGGATGCTGCCTCTAAAAAGAACATTGCCCCTTTCTCTCTTCACTCCCTCTTCCCAGCATCTTCTCTTTCTTTCTCTTTTTAAACAATCCTTTTGAATTTCTCCTGATATAAAAGGGAATGCTCACTCCCCCTGGGTGCAGCCAGGGTTTTGGAGAGAATGGGGTCAGAGAAAGCACTTGTTGAGGTCTACTTCTCCTTAGAGGAAGAAGAGAAGAACCCCAGGTCATATGTCTTGTCCCCAGCCCAGCCCATTAGGAAGAACAAATAGGGCCCCTAAGAACAAGAAACCAGACAGCCCTGGCTGTAAGGAGGGCAAGTGATTCTAAATGCATTTTGGTAAAGAGCATGTGACAGAGCTGCCCTTGTCTCCAAAAGACTCCATCAGAGCAAAGCACCCACCCCAAAGCCCCTCGCTGTTGAGATGTTTATGCCAACTAGAACTGAGGCATGGTTAGGTTTAGAGATGATTCTGTAAGGAGGGATGGCTGCCCAGTCTCTAGAAGTAGAACCAGCTTCCTTATAAGGTGGTGAGTTCACCATCCCTGAAAGCATGTGAGCGGACCCCCGAAGGGAAAGATGTAGCTTTCCGAGGGCTTCTAGACATATGCTGCTCTGACCTCACTGCTTGCCCGGTCCTGCATTTTGGAGTCCAGGTGAGATTCAAGTCCAAACACAATGCTTAGTTTCATAATTTCCTCCTTGGTCTGCCTGAAGCCCCATAGGCTTGTGGAGAGGGTGATACACAGCATGAACAGTGAAAGAGGGGACAATTAGACAAGAGTTTGGATCCTGATGTCCTCACAGCTGTGGGCTTTGGCCAAGCCATTTCCTCCCTGAGCTTCAGTCTCATCTTCTGTACCTGGTCCCAGGCTACCTCCTGGAGCTTGTGAACATCCAGTACCACGAAGTGCAGAGATCTTGGCACAACTGGGGAAGTGTGCAGGTGAAAGATTAAGTCTAGCCCATCCATTCATCTTGCAGCCAGCAGGGGTGATAGGAGGTCAACTGCACCATGCTCTGAGCTAGGTTCTAGAATAAATTCTACATAATGTACACATATATACATACACACATATATACCCATATATACACACACGTAGGTACATGCATATGTACATACACACGTACATAAAACCCTCTGTGTGTGTGTGCATATATAGATATATATATATATACACACACACATATACATATTCTACCCCAAGAGTTCCACCCCAAGAGTTCCAAAGGGAAGGTAGCAGGGGAAATACAGTTTTCACTTAGAAGAAGCAGACTCAGGTCTCTGTAAAGCTGCATTTTACCACCAGAGAGCTATGGTGTAATCCATGCTGTTAAATCAGCGTTTCTGGATGATGAAGATGAATTCCTCCTCCTTTCTACTTCTTTTCTTGGTCCCCTTACCCTATTCTGCTCACTAACACCTCCATAGGGTCAGAGAAAAGATCAATTCAAATTAGTCAATTTGCTTCTTTTTAGTCGCTGTTGGGAACAAAGTGGGAGGATGAGGAGGTGGCTACTAATGGATTTTTGAAAAGCAGAGTTGAGGCATTATCTGAGCATGATGAGCAGGCTGGCTATTTCCTCCTCACCCATGACAGAGAAATGAATGTTGGCCCTTATTTATAGAGTGCAGTTCTGTACCTGAGCATCTCTCTTCCAGCTCGCAACTCCTACTCATCCTTCAATGCCCAAATCATATGGCTCCTTTTGGAGCCTTCCCTGACTTTCCTGGGCAGAGAACACATTTCATCCTCTGCATCCACATCACTTTGTTCATGTCTGGGTTCTTGTCTGCCATCTGCTTCTCTGTTGGCTGCTTTTGTCTTTGTCACGTGATTAGAAACTCCTTGAGGTGCTGACCTTGTCTGATTTGTCCTGATGTTCACGGCCCAACACAGGGTGTGACCATTGGTAGATACTCAGATATTACCTGTTTAATGAGTGCGTAATTTCTAAAAGAACACTCTGACTTTAGTATTCAGTGGAGAGAGGGTTAAGGAATGGATATTACTCATTCATTTTCTGATGGGAAGAAAATGTAACAAGACCTAAATCCCATCATTTCTACTAGAATAGTTTAAGTTTTTGCCAGCCAGTTCTAAGAGAAACAAAACTTATGTTCTAACCATTTCACAGCTATCTGTGTACTAAGACTGGGCATGAAATGACAAGTTTAGCATTCACTGCAGCATCAATGGTGGGAAGGGACATTGTATGCATCTGCTACCCACAGCCATCTCATTCAGTTGATCTGTGTGAACTTATTTTACAGCCAAGGAAACTATAATCTTATAATAATATATGAAAGAGGTATAAAATAAGCATTTTAAGGAACCAGGGTTTCAAATAAAATTAGGCTCTTTGCCTCTTAAAACTCCAATCCTAATAACTCATCCATTTTTGCTTAAAAACTGTGAGCAGTTCTAAGCTGTCCTCAAAACAGACTCAAACCACTTAGCTTGGTCTGAAAAATCCCTGATTCATACCCTCACCTCCCTCTCTAAGTGAGTCCCTTGGTCTCTCAGACTCACCTCTCCACATTCCACAGTCTCAGGAGGGAGGTGAAGGTGCACAGGATTCCCCGAGGCACAGTCCTTGCCTATGTGTCTCCATCTCCCGGCCTGGAAATTCCTAACACCCTTCCCTGAAGCATCTTAACCTCCTTGCTTGGTTCCTGCCTGGCTACATCTCATCTCCAGGACTGAGTGCAGACAACCTGCTCCCAAGAAGCTTCCATGGTTCCACCCCTCAATCTGGGTCAGGGACTCCTCCTCTGAGCTCCCCAAGCACCCATTCCTAATGCAACACTGATCAAAGTGTGTTGTCTAGCCATTAGTGCGTCTCCTGGTAAAACCAGAAGCAACTCAACTGCAGGGGCTGACCTAGTCCTCATTTATACCCAGTGCCTGGTACAGCACTCACATAGAAGAGGCACTCATATATCTGCTGAATGAATGATCCTCCTTCTACCCTGAAGGCGAGAAAGACCAATAGTCTATCATGTAAGTAAATTCCAAGAGAACAGGTAAAAGTGACCTGTGGGAGGTTCCAGTGGAAAATTCCTACTCTAGCAAATTGACTCTATGATGATCAAATTAAGACAACTGTTTACATCAACCTACTTTATCGATGCAACTTCCCCAAGAAACCTTGATAGCACCAGGCCATGGAGTCCTAAGAATGGGGCCCAGACTCATTAATCTACAGAGTCCCAGTAGCTAGGGCCCAGTAAAGATTTTTGAATGAATGACTAACACTGCATTGGGAAAGAGCTCTGGGGAAGAGAAAGGAAGGGTAGAAGAATCTCCAGAAAAGCCAGCCAGAACATAAACACCCAAGTCCTTTCTGCCCTCGCTTCATTCCACAGGCTCCTCATTCCTTCTGCTCCAATCCTACTGGTCACTCGAGACTGGGTAAAGCCCAAGTGCATTCCCCGATCAGAGATTTAGTTCTGGCTCTTCCTTCTAGCCTTGCTCCCTCACTTTCTCCAGATGCTGCCCAAATAATGCCTTATCCAGAGGTGTTCCCTGGCACTGTATATAAAACAGTAATGTCCATTTCCCTCAACTCTCTAGCTCTCTGACTTAGCTTTATTTTTTTCTGCTTTATTTTTTTCATAGCACCTAATACTACCAGATGTAATACATACATGTTTGCTACTTGTTGATGATCCCTTGATCCTACTTGAATGCAAGCTCCTTGAGAACAGGAACTTGGTTTTGTTCTGTCCTGTATCCCTAGCACCAAGATAGTGCGAGCCACCCACTGCATGGTTCATGTTCCATGAACATCTACTGACTGAATGGATGACTGGGTGAATGACTGCCTTAGAAAAGCTAACAGGCAAGGAAGAAAGCCCTGAATGAGCATGTGCTTGGACCCTGACTGTCTTGCTGAGTGCCAGGCCAGGATACCGGCCCCAAATCAATTGACCCTTACTCTTGGTCTTGGATGTAGGCTAGTCTGAAGGGAAAAAGCCACCGGGAGGGAATTAGTTTTCAGCTAATACCTCATGGGACAAAGGGCTAGGAAAGTAGTAGTTCTAACTTTGGGTATGGCAGAGAAAACCTTCCAATGGCCAGGCTGGAGAGGCAATCTGGCTAAAGTCCGGGTGAGAAAAGGCTTCTATGGATGAAGAGCTCTGAAATAAAAAGGCTGTTAACAGTTTCTCTCCTTTTTAAATCGTTGGGGCTTAACAGTATTTGTGGACAAGGCCTGTCCTAGATTTTAGGCACAAGGCTCAAATGAAATCCAGATATGGGATCAAAGCTATATTCAAGTAGCTCTAAAAAAGGGTAGGTAGGGAAAGGAGCTGGTATTTGCTGAGGTCTCCTGTAACAAGAAACCATGCTCATGCGTGATCTCACTTAATCCTCAACACCAGCTTATAACATGGAGTGTACTATCCCTACCTTACAGGTGGGGAAACAGAAGCTTGGGGATTTAAAATGGTGATTTAAGCAAAATCACTGAGCCAACACAGAGCACAGCTGAGATCTGAAGTCATGTGTGTCTAAGTCGCAAAACTGTTCTCCTTCCTCTGAATTATGCTATAGCTCAGAAACCACTCTAGAGAAAGAAACCACAAGAGGAAGAAAGGAAGCAGGCATGAGATAAACATGTTCCCCAAAGAATAAGAGTCTGGCATAAGAAACAAGTCTGGGATAAGACAATCCTGGGAATGCAAAACAAGCTTTAGATATCACCTGGTCTTACCTTCTGTCCTGTGCTTAGCTTCGTGAAATGCTTCTGGTTTTAGTTTTTCAGAAAAGTCAAGGTATCTAGCTGAAAAAGAGCTTCAAGACAGGATAGCAGAAGATAACACCAAAAACTAGTGCAAGAGTGAAGATGTGTGGCCATCTCAGTGTGTTGGCATTTTTTTCATGACTCCTGACCATGATTCCTTACACTGGGCCTGCGTAAGAGAGATGTGTTAATATACCACAATCCAGGCAGCTGAACGCTTGACCAAACTTTAGTCATCTAGGAGGAATGTCAGCCTACATCAGGTGCAACTCCAATGAAGACATTCTAGTAGATGTGGCCACATTCCTTGCACATAAGAAGGAAAGGATCCATAAGTGACTGGGAGGAGGGGAGAGAGACGAGCAATAAGCAGACAGAGACATTGCGTTGGTGGTCAGGAAAGCGGGTGATGAGAATGGTTAGCTGCAGCCTGTCTGCTGTAAGCGCCCTTGGATGAAACTTCATGAACTGAATTTGTTTCTAAAGATGTTGTAGCAGGTGGGATGCAAGTCCGTTCTCTGACATGGGATCTAAATTCCATCTCAGATTGGCTACCAAAGGACCTCTCCTCCTACTGTCTAAATCTAGTTGGCTAGCATGGGCAGAAAGGAACACTAAATGATTCTGCAAGGAAAAAGGAACCTAGATCTACAGCTCGACTCTGTTCTTCCCCTGCATGTAATTCTCAGCTACCCTCTTTCATTCCTTAACCCTCAAAAGCCTCAAGATAGCACAGATCCCACTCAGAATACAGCTATAGAACCCAGAGCCTTGAACCTTTTCCTTAATAGTTTCATGTCTTTCATAACATAAGCATGCATACGACATACTTCCTGCAGTATAATGATGGTTATCAGTGTGCTACACGTTATAACGAAAGTCAATTGTTTCTTACCTGGAAATATCTCCTGTGATTCAGTTTCACCAATCCAGGCTGATGGGATGAACCAGCTTAGCTGCTGTCTGGCCAAAGTAAGTTGGACTTCCCAAATCAGGACGGTGGCCTCCTAGAGTCCTGTAGCTTTTCTGTCCTTAAGATGGTGGTACCCTGCTAAAAAGGGAATGCAAGTCATGTTACTGTGAGAAGCAATTTCCTATTCTCCACTAGTCACAATGTATTTTTTAAGGAGAGCAGAGAGTCACAAGATCACAGATTATCAGGCCTGAAGGACATCTAAGAGATAGTCTTGTCTAATTCTTTCATTTTATAATTAGGGGATTGAGGCTCACAGAAGAAAGCAGCCTCACTCAGGGACTCAGCAGTTTGGGAGTTGAATCCACATTGGAACATGTCTCTGACTCTCTGGCCTTTGACATATTTTTTAAATGCAGCCACATGGTCAGGCTGACTTCTCAAACAAGTGGTCATTGACCTTGAATGGGAAGTCTTTTTATTTTTTATTTTTTGTTTAACACATTTTGAAAAAGGGAGGTGGCACTTTTTCCAGATTGCTGTTTTTGTAGTTTCACCCCTGGGAGCTAAATTAGTAAAACAGCCCACCTCAGGCATGTGGTTGGGATGGTTCTCCCTGTTTCTCATTAGAAAAATATTGTTATAAAATACCATGACCCATGAACACAGTGACACAGTGGGGAGTGAGCACTGCTCTTCAGTGAGAAGCATATGTGGGCCCAGGTCTCTCTCTCTCTCTCTCTTTCTGTCCACGTTTCAGAGAAACACAGCAACAGACATGAACTCTTTTTCCATGAGTATCATTTATTGCAGGGTTTTTTTCCTGGCTCCTGTGCATTTGAATGGCCACTCCTTTGTGCAGAAAACCAAATCATAGAAAATAGAGGGGAGCTTTCACTTATTAAGCAAATATCTGTCAGGCATACCATGAGAATTGTATAAATATACTTTCTTATTAATTTGTCCTCAAAAAATCCCAGTGAGATACCATTAATTCCATTTTTCCAAAGAGGTAGGAAACCAATCTTTCAA
Source organism: Homo sapiens (assembly GCF_000001405.40). NCBI lineage: Eukaryota > Metazoa > Chordata > Mammalia > Primates > Hominidae > Homo > Homo sapiens. The sequence goes on from NC_000002.12 coordinate 16,624,914, forward strand.
GAGCTAGGATGATCTACAGAGTCAAAAAGAGATACAATGCAGAAGCAGAAATAAACTCATGTCTCCTAAATCTACTTTTTGCTATCTAAACTGAACTATATAGTTTGTTACTAGGGCAAACACTAGAGTTGTCTGTTTTTTCCAATGTTTCAGCTCAAATGCATGAGACAGTTCTTTAAAGCTGAAACTGTGGTAAGGGCATGAAAGATTATTTTTATTAGATTCTCTTTCTGATGGGGGTGGGGGATGGTGGTGGGCTTGTGGGGGAAGTAGGGGTCTAAAGTCCAAGACTTCCTGCCAGGCTCCCAGCTGGGGCTCCCAGGCCCCCAGAGGCTGGGCTGGTTCTGGCTCTCAGCAGCAGGGGCAGCAGCAAGAGGGCACCTCAGGAAGTCACAATTATCAACGCTCCCTGGCTCAAGGCTTTGTTCCTGTTCTCAGACAACAAGGGACATGCCAGGAGAGATGGGGTGGGGGTGGAGAAAGAGGAAGAAAAAACAGGAAGTGAAGTGGGGGAGGAGGGAAGGAAATGATAGAGAAAACACAGCAACTCTGAAATGTCCTTGGCTTGATGAGAAAGTGATTTCTGAGTGGACGTTAGTGGAGCTGGGCCCTGCATTTTAGGAAACCGGATTGTGATGGTAACAGGGCAGGGCAAAGACGTTTACTTCCTCCAAACTCAGGGTTGGGGTCCACAAATTCCACTTCCCACCACCAAGCACCGCCTGGCACAGGGATGTTTTCCACACCTCAGGTGTAGACATGGAAGGTGGTGAATTTCCAAAGAAGGATTCTGGGGTAAGGCCCTGTTCCTCACCTTTTGACTGTGGCTGAGGGGCCAGGCGTGTCACAAAAGGATCTGGAAACAAGAGAAAAGCTCTCAAAGTGATCAGGTATCAGGGAGAGCTATCCCATCCTCACTGCTTTTTTTTTTTTTCTCAAATGTCCTCAGAATTGAACCCATTTTCAGTGTGCATGACTGGGATGGATTCACTCAGCTGGGTTCAGCACAAATGCTGCTATTTTCCACCACAAAACCAAGAGGGTCAGTCAGGCGGAACACCGGGTTTCCTCCTGATCATCATTCTAAGACACCTCCTGCTTGTCTTCCTGTCCATTTTGTTGACTCCATTTACTTACTGAGGCTTACAGAAATTCCCCAACTCCAAATGCACATTGTAAAGAATGACAGTCACCTGGTAACTTGAACAACCACACACAGAGATGACCCTAATAATAACTTAATAACCGAATACCACTTCTACTAATGCTAATACTATTCATAGACCCCTGATGGGCACCAAGGGGTAGAGAATGCAGAGCCCGTAAGCCATCACATACTGGTTCCCCTACTCCAGCGGGCCCCCTGTACTGGCTACGCATCTAAGAAGCTCACAAAAAATACAGACCCAATCCAGAGCAGCGGTCAGGAAACTTGTACGGTTAAAAATCTTCTGAGAGGGTTTTAGTGCCACCAACTTGGCTCTGATCCATGGACTAGCATTCAGTTAACACGGACCCCCACTCAGCTCTCACCCTCACCCCACCTTCTCCCACCTTACAGATGCAACCACAAAGGCTCGCCAAGGGCAGGGGCTCACTCCAGGTCCCACAGCTAATGGCCTCCCAGGGATCTGCCCCACTACTCCAAACCAAACATAGAACAACAAAAAGTCAGCATATGTTTGAGAGGACTCCAAGCCTTCTGAAGCAATTGCTGATGGTTTACTGTGTGAGTCACCCCGGGGCCAAGTGTCCATTAGGGAGAACAGAGAGCAAGGGGGGAAAGAAACTGAAAACTCTCATCTCGCATCTCCACAGGCAGCACAACCTCACATATCACCAGCAACACCAGCATGCATTTGCTCCCATCCAAGCAGCCACAGGCGGCCCAGGCTACTTCCACAGTGCTATGCCCTGTGCCTGGCCTGGTGGGGCTTCACACCACACAACACAATCAGGAGTTTGCCCTTCTGTAGCACCTGGCAGCCAGTGAAATGCTTTTCCATATCTTTTCATCTTTGCTCATTTTGAGAGCGGTACAAAGCTGAGGGGTAATCACCCCAGTTTATAAATGGAGAAGCCGAAATCAGAGACAGGAGGTGCCTTATCCAGAGTCTCAAAACAGAACTAGGGCCCGAAATAGGCATCTCCTGTCTTCCAGTCTAGCGACCTTTCCCCATGTCCTGTCCCACCCCACCCCATTCAGGGGAGGGCTAGGGAAGAGCTTCAAACGGCTGCTGCCTTCCCCTTCTGAATGGCTCTGGAAATAGAAAAGCAAGGCACAACAACTGAAGGGAAGGCAATATCCACTACGGGAGGCCGAAAGGGCCCCAAAGACTGTGTCCCCACCCTCCGGGGTGGGCAATCAAGGGACCCAAAGCCCAGGGTGGGGCATGCTTGTGCCCACAGTTCACCAGCAGCAGAGCTTAGACTGAGTCCCTCAATGCCAGAAGCACAGAGCAACACTGAGAAACCAGAAGGGGCAGGTGTTTGGATAATAAAAATAGCTAACACTGATCAAGTACTTACTGTGTGTTGGGCTTTGTTTAGCACTGTACATGTAGTGACTCCCTGAAACCTCATGGCAACCAAACTAGGTAGGCATTATTATTGTCCCCTTTTACAGAAGAGGTAACTGAGGCACAAAATGATTAAGTCACTTGTCCATGGGATTTAGCTTTTGAGTGATAGAGTCAAGGTGTGAACTTAAGCAGTCTGGCTCAAATTCTGCAAAGCCAAATAGTGGAAAGAAAGAGAATAAAGCAAATACACTAGGAACAGATGACACCTTCCTTCAAAAGGAGAGAAGGAAGATAGGAGACTCTCCAGGCAGGAAAGACTGACAGCTGCTGTGCAGGCAGAATTAGGAATTTGGTACCTAGTGCCCTCTGGGTAGCAGCCGACCAATGTCAGGCAACACCAGTAAATGACATCCTGGTGTTGGTGTTTATACAGCATGGCTGGGCCAGGGAGGGGATGAAGGCAGGGCCTGAGATGGGTGGAGGGGATGATGCCTTGGAAAGCCAATTCCTATGTCCCAGAGAGATGGAGCAGCTGGGCGGGCAGGCAGGCGGTTCCCTTTCTGCATCCCCAGCACCAGCAGTGCACACATGCCCGGGACACCAGGCTTCGGGGATGCCACTGGGTTTCAGCCTCATGATGCCTGGGAAGCCAGGAAAGACAGGGGTCATCTCTCACCATTTCTACAATGAAGAGCTAAAGCCAAAAACAGTCACAGCCCTAGAATAATAACAACAACAACAGCCACCATTTGTTGGCAGGTTATGATTTGTCAGGAAATATTCTAGATGTGTATATAGATTATGTAAAAATGATACCAACTCTGAGAGGTCCATATGATTATTCTTAATTTGCAGTTGAGGAAAGCTAAGTAATTCTATAAAGGTCAAAGCTAGCAGGCTATGAGAAAGGATCTGAACCACCATTTATCGGACTGTGAGGCCCCTGATCTCACCTCAAAGCCGTGTGTGCTGTGAAATGGTTAAGTGACTTACCCACAACTGTGCAGCTGTGCTAACCCACAGCCAGCTTCTGGGCTGTCAGAGCACATGGGCACAGGCGTTTACTTCCACATACTCCCTACGCTACACATCCACACTAAGTGCTGCTAACCACTTTTATATACACAGTCATACAGTTGGGGTGATTTAATGGTTTATCATCCAAACGAGGATACCTCTGAGAGTGAAAGGGGGCCCTTTTAATAATATTGCTGGGACAACAGGCAGACACCAGGACTGTCCTAGGCATGTAAGAACATGCAGTCACCCGAATACAATCCACACTCCCACAGGCTGGTTATTTTTATGTCCAGTTGTGTTGGTAGAGGACCCTTCTGGGCAATGCCTTGCTTCCCAATCCACACAAATACTCTTTCCAAATAATCCACTCTCCCTGTGTTCACCTGCCTGTCTTCTGAATTCACGGAGCTTGTTGGCCTTATAGATAAACAGGCTGATGCCACTTGGTTATAAAGCAGTCATGTTATGGTTTGAGAAGGCAGGGTGTCACTAATTCAAACAGTGTATTTTAAAAGACTGGTGGGTTCCTTGTGCCCTGGAAGCCCCGGAACCCTAATACCCAGCTGTTCTGATAAGCAGCCTGTCCCTCAAGAGTGAGGACTCTGTGGCTGTCCCATTGAGGACAGCCTGAGACAAGCAGATGGGAAACCAGCACGGGAATACAGCTGCCACCACTACTGGACCTGCTGGAGAAACCGCAGTCTACTGGGAGGACACAGACCTGGGGTCCTCAGGGGACAGGCGCATCTCTAAGACAAGGCCTGGCCTTTTTCTGCTGCCAGCAGGCACCCATCATGCGTGGGAGTGAGCAGCTCTAACCTGGTGAGAGATCCTCCCTTTTCCCCTGACTGGGCCTAGTGGGGAAGGAGGTGGTGTTTAAAGCTCGTTTTTGTTTTACTCTTTCCCTAAGAATCTGCCTTCTTAGGAATCTCTGACAAGAGGAAGGAAGAATCTGCTGTTCTTTTGAAGCCAGGAAATCACTCTTAACAAACTCTCCCATCAATACAGGTAAAGTGCAGAGCTAATGAGAAAGCAGAGGGCATTTGTCTGTTCTCTGAAGAGACCGTTTCTGGCGTATGTTTAATCATGGAGCATCATAGGACCTCGAGGCCAGGGATTTTCAGAGGCCCCAGAGAAGCCTGCCAGCTCCTAGCAGCCCTAGAAACTGGCAGGGCTCTTGGAGGCACTGACGTGCAGGGCTCTGGGCCCTCATCCTGTGATAAAAGGAATAGAGATATTTTTTACCTGTTTTGTGTAGGGGCTTCTGCAAGTGATGATTTTTTGGTAAATAGACCTTTTTGCAAATTAGGCCATGTGCACAGGTTGTGGGAATTAGGGAATGCACTTATCTTCTTACGGGTTACCATTCAACACACAACAGCTGTGATTATGACTATATGTTATAATGTTATTCTGGGGGATGCTTAAGACCTAGAAAAGGAAAGGATTTGTCTGATGCCACCCAGCATGCAGCCTTCCCATGGTGGGAAGCCGAGCATGGAAGAAGCCCAGAGACCAGATAGTGACTAACTGGGAGTGGCCGTGGCTCAGGCAGTCCTAGACAGTCAGAGGCCAACACGCCGGTGATGATGGTGATGGGGCAGAAGATACCAACCCTTATTCACTGAGCATTGACTGTGTGCCAGGCATGGTCTAGACATCACCTGGATGTTCTACCAGCCCTCGCCCCACTCTTGCTGGAAATGGCAGTGCTCCTATTATCCACATCTTACAGATAAGGAGCTGGACAGTCACTCAGAGAGGCTGAGTGATGAGCTCTGGGTTAATGGCGAGTAGATAACGAAGTGCGCATTTGGACTCACATCTGAGGGACCCCCACCTGGGCCCTGACCACTGTACTCTACAGCAAAGGAGAGGACCCAGGCCACCCTCAGAGGTGGTGTTTATGAGTCATGGGGCAGAGAAGGCAATTGCAAGTGGCAAATGGTAGCAGAACCAGAACAAGAGCCCAGATCTCTACTCCTGGGCTCACATTAGTCCCATTTCCCAAGGCTGTAGTTTAACATCTCTCTGTGGTCTTTGTAACACCTGAATGGCCATTAAGGTGAGTGCACCCATGTTCAGGGCAGGAAAACACCTGCCAAACTGGCTGCAGCATTCAGGAAACTCCACCAAGCTTTTCGATGAGTTCACATTGCACTGCCTGAACACAACCGCTGGGGTGGGTTCCTTCTCCTTGAGACTGCATTTTAGAATGTCAGTTACACCAGGTCTCCTTTGAGTGAGGAAGTGGGAGACACATTAGAAACCCAAGGAGACCAGCTTCCTCTTCTCAGACAACCCCAAGCAACAGCACAATTGGATGTCAGACAAAGGGTCATTTTTACCTCCCCTCTTCCCATCCACGGCTCCAACTACAGGAGCATCACCATTAGGGAGGGGTAAGGGGCACACCTTAAGCAGGTTTGAGATGTCAGCGGCTGACAGCCTGCCTTGTCTCCATCAGGAAGGCAGCAATAAGACAAAAACCAACAATCTGGGCTGTGGAGTCTGAGCCTGACCACCCCCAGGTGATGCAAGCCAGGAGGTTGCCTTGACTTGGTCTTGACCCGGGTCTACCCCTAACTTGGCCTTGGCTGGGCTGTGTGACCTTTAGTCAGTCACTACTGTCAGATCCTCAGATACAACACCTGTTAAATGCAGATCATATGGAGATATATACCAGCAAGCCTCTTTGGACTACTTTGAAAACCAAATGAGCTATTATATTTGTGTTCGTGTTTTATCTCCACCATTGAGTGGAAAGTTACTTAATAGGAGAGGTCATGTCTCATTCATCTTTACAAATGATTGTAACTAGCCCAGAGCCCTGCACAAATGAGAAGAGGTGATGGTTGAATTGTAAACTTCAGCTTCTCTGAGGGCAGTGAATAGCCCAGCGTAGCTGGGGAGGAAGGAAAGAGGTGGCAGAGATACAGTGAGTAGATGAGTGGAAAAAGAGGCTGTTGTCAGGCTGTGGAGGACTTTACACATACTGATGCTTCTAAATTTCATCTGTAGCTGGATGGTAAGCTGATATCCCAAATGCTTTAGTAAGCATTAGTGGAGGATGGGGCTGTAGAAAGAGCCTGGGGACTCAAGCCCAACAATCATAAACCTCAGTCTCAGGTCTTTGGAGCTAAGCCTTAGTTGCCTTATCTGCAAAATGAGAATAACAACTTCATTCCAGGGTCATTAGGGATACCTAGCATTTAAAGTGACCAGTGCAGTATTTAGTATCTATTTGAATTTCAGCAAATACTACTGCCCTAAATGAGTGAGGCCAAGCTGACCTTGACTATCAGATGTAACGGTATGTTACAGAGGTTCTAGGCCAACGCTGCCTTGGAGTGAGAAACTAAGCAATGGTACCATGGCCACGCTGCAGTGAGGACAATCTAGAGTCAGTCTGGCTACAGTCATGTGTTGTCCAAGTTTCCAGCAATCCTGGTATGCTCTGGTATATCCTGTGAACACCTACAGCCCTCATGTACCCAAAGGCCACATGGTGTCACATGGCGAACACCCCCTGAGTCCCACAGACCACCTCAAAGCTTCCCAGTGCCCCAGCCTGCAGCACTATCTACAAGGGACACTGTCAGGTGGCTTCTGTTGGGTGTTCCGTAGAGACCACTTATGCCATAAGGCCGGCTAGGAGGCACAGCACTCTGGGCTGAGAAGCAGGAGATCTGGGTTCCAGTTCCACATGGCAAGTGACTTGCCCCATGCACAGTGGCTGAACAGTCTTGGGACTCTCAATGCCTGGAAGTGCCCTTCAGCGGAGTGTTTCTATAAGAGCTTAACCTAGGAGACACACTGACATTTGAGAAAGTCATGTTCTTATCAGGCAAACCTCTGCTAAAACTACCCTGACAATGAAGCCTCTTCTATAGAATGCTCCTGTTCAAACCCAACAGGAATATGCTGAAGTTCAGAGGGTGCCTGGTTTCTAGTTTCCACCTTACCAATTCCTGTCTGTGCCACCTCAGGGGAGTCATTACACACTCATGAGCCTCAATTTCCTCATGTGAGCCTCAGAGGCAATGATATATCGCTCATACTATTTTCTAGCAAACTGTTTCCTAACACTTCACAGAAAGTACAGATCTCATTTTATTTGGATACTCTGAGGTTGGTCATCCTTCATCTTTGTGGGAAGAGCCAGACACACTTTCACAAAGCAGGCACGGGGGAAAATGAAAAACTTCCATCATTCTTGGGAAGCGGGAGAGAGTCAGAGTCCATAGGATGAGGAATGATTGAGAATGCACCCATGACAGCTGGGAGCCGGCTTATCTATGATGCTGGCAAGGGTCATCCCTGGCCTCGGCAGACAAACACTGGCAATTGCGCTCCAGACAATAGCACAGCTGCTCTTGTTCCTAGGCTCCCTGCTGTGAGGCAAAGCAGGGGTCATATGATCAGTATTCAGCATTGCATTCGTCCCCAAGATGCAAAGGGATTCTGCCTTCCCCAATAGCACAGGGCTGCAGGAGGGGGGTGCACACCCTCCACCCCAATGAGGGGAGCAGCGGATAGAAGAATAGATAATGATAAGATTCCCCACAGAAACTGACTACAGGAAAATGCAGTTTCCATGTGAGAACCACCACTTCTAATAAAATCCATATTCCTAAGCTGAGGGTACAAGTTCTTCCATAAATGACTGCATACTAATTAGAGCCATCCTTTATGTTAACTCCCAGCTTAAGCCCAAATGTGATTTACTGCAGCTTTGTACCCTCTTGCCCTGCCTTGCAGCCTAGACTTTCACCCCCCACCCTGTCTACCATCCTTCAAGGCCAGCAGCAGAGTTTTACTTCCTCCCTGAAGTGTTCTCTGATACCCACCTAAGACCACAATCCATACTGACCTCTCCCTTTGCTGAACTCTCATAGAACTTTCTGTCTGTGCCACTCAGCATTTAGTGCCTATGAGTTGTCTCATGACTTTTATTTATTTATTTATTTATTTTTGAGACAGGGTCTCGTTCTGTCACCCAGGCTGGAGTTCAGTGGCGTGATCTTGGCTCACTGCAATGTCCACCTCGAATAGTTGGGATTACAAGTGCAGGTCACTATCCCTGGCTTTTTTTTTTTTTTTTTTTTTTTTTTTTTCTGTAGAGAAGGGGTTTCACCATGTTGCCAAGGGCTGGTCTCAAACTATCTGCCAGTCTCAGCCTCCCACGGTGCTGGGATTACAGGCATGAGCCACCGCACCCAGCTACCTCATCACTTTCTGACGGGACTGTTACATCAATCTCCTAACTGGTTTGATCCTGCTTGGGCTGTGGCCCTGTCCTCTGCAGAAAAAAGTTTTCAAAACACACATTTGATGATGTGTCATCCCTGCTTAAAACCCTTCAAGTATTTCCTACCACCTTCATGATAAAGTCCAAATGCCCTACCATGCTCCTACCCTTCCCCTGGGAGTATCCACATTCCAGTCACACCAAAGTGTTTCCCAAGGTTATATAATGAGGTGATATCAAAGGCAGGAGGAGAACCTGGATCGCTGAATAACTAGCTGAGGGTTCTTCCCTCAGTCCCAGGTGCTTCCCAGGCTAACGTTGGACCACAGACAGAATGACTAGGAGCACATGACACTGAGTCATGGTCGAGGTGAAAAAGTCAAGACCAACTAAGTATTTAGGCTTGATAAGCTTACACTGTTGACAGCCAGCCGATCCACTAAGCAACCAAGTGGGCAGCAGGCATCTGAGACTCAGGCAGAGGTTCATCTACTCTTTACACCAACACTAGGAAGGGGATCACTATTTCTCCTTTTGCAGGTGTGGAAAATGAGGCTCCCAGTGGTCACAGCTGCTATCTGGACTAAAACACCAGCCACACCCCTTCTCTTATATTCCAGAATGGTAAAATCCAACAGCCCCCCACTGTCACCACTTTGATGCCTCCCAAGCATCTTACAGTAGACACATCTGATGGTAAGTAACAGCATCTAGTCCCTGCCCAAGAGACCATTCTGTCCAGGACCCCCTTCTGGGGAACTTCATTTCTGCTCTAAGACCAGAGGTATCCCATGACTTTTCTAATTCCTTCAATGGAAAGACTGTGAAAAGAAACTTTCATTTAACAGAAGAGGGGGATAACTCCACTCTAACTGCTTTATGTTTATCCAGAGAAGTTATCAAAAACTCTTACCAGGTGACTGCTTTCCCCACAGCACATCACAGTGATAAGGGCATGTGTCTGGGGGGTGGCAGAACAAGGTCCAGAGGAGAGCAAGACTAATATGTGATCAGCAGCACACATGGACTTGGGGGCATTCTGAGCTGGCTGGCACCAGCTCACCAGATCCAACTGTACAGATCCCTTCCCAACTTCACATTCAGTGACGCCATGGAAGTAGCTTGAAACCAGCCATGGTGGAAGTATTTACACCATGGAAATTGTCCCACGCTCCCAGCAAGTTTGTTTGGCTTTCGTTTATCCCAGATAATTGGTTATTAAGCATTTAGGAGCAAACCACTGAATGGATCCATAAGATGGACACTGGGTTGGGAAGACAAGACTTAAATTGTAGCTAAAGCTCTACCGCCAACTCACTGTTTGACTTGAGCAAGTTTCTTCCTGGTCCTAAGTTTCCTTAACTGTAAAGGACATAAAGAGCACTTTGGTAAATGTAAAATAGGGAGGAGACATTTGACAATGTCTGCAGACATTTTTGGTTGTCACAACTGAGGTAGATGTGGTGCTACTGGACAGGGATGCTGCCAAGCATCCTATCACGCACAGGAAAGCCCCTCTTCCTCCCTTAACAGAGACCTACTTTTCCCAACATGTTCCTAGTGCCAAGGTTGAGAGATCCTGATGGGGAGATAGTCTCACAGTAGCCCACTGAAATACCTTGAACACATCAGCATGCACAAGGAAAATAAAAGGAGTCAGCTTGCAGGAACCCTGGGAGGGCAGTGGTGTAAAACATTGCCACGGATGCTACAGGTTTACAATGCAAGGATGAGGTAGATCTCTTGCCCTAACATGGTACCGGGCACACCATAGGTGCTCAGTAATCATTTGCGGGAAAAGTAAACGTGTCTAGTTGAAATAGCAATGCAGTCTCTCTTTAGCAAGCCTATACTCCAGTGTGTGTGCATCCCCCCACAGTGACACCAGGCAGAAGAATCTGACAAGTGTCTATTCACCTCCTCTCACCTCCTCTGGGAGGGTAGTGAAAAGACACGGTGTGAAGTTCTAGCCCTGGAGACTCAGATTAGACAAATAATCACTAGCCTGGCATCCAGAGCCGCGATGGTCAGAAGAGCAATTTTATTTAAGTCACTTTCTAATAGGAGTTGAAGCGTCTTGAAAAGTGAGGTTTTCAAAGGCTCCTCTGGGGAGGCAATTGTCAAAAACACACAGCAGGCAACCTTGCTTTCGACACATTCAAAGCCACTTTTTAAAGACAATCCTTTTCTTCTCTGTACCACTTGGGATTGAAAATGCATTTAGCACAAACCACCAGAAGCAGAAACAGCGTTGGATAAGAAACGCGACCGACATTGTGGCAAGCACGGGGAACTGCAACAGAATCTGATCAGGCTGGCACCACTCAGACATGCACAAGGAAAGAGGCAATGGCAGGCAGCATATCTACTGTCCCTCAGCCTCTGGGGTCTGGAGTCAGCGAAAGTAGGGGGTGAGGTGTAACCACAGCCGTTGCTGGAAGTCCCTTGCAAGACTCCGGATTCTGAGTTCTCACACTGAGAGTGGCAGCTGATTTCTAAACAAGCAGATGACAGAACACAGGACCTCCCTCTGTGTCTCCCTGAAGATCTGAATCTGACCATAAACCATCCGACTCACAAAGCCCTTTAATTAAAAGCCCAAGGGCCCAGAGCTAATTCGAGATGTGGCAAGACCCAGTGGCTTCTCAAGCACCAGAACTGTGAGCAGATTAATGGGGATAATTTCGCCCTTCCTGGTCTATAAATGACAACTCACTCAGATGCACTGAATGCCAGAGCTGGAAGCCACCTGGGCAACTCTCTGCCCAGCCCCTTGCTTTGTGAATGAGGAGCTCATGGTCCAGGATAGGAGGCCAACTGCCCCAGGCCCGGTCCCGAGTTTCTTACTGACTTTCAGCTAAATGCAGCTTTCTTGGTGTCCAGTGCTGAGTCACCTATCTATTCAGAGAAAATGTTTTTGTTGAGGTCTCTACACTCCCTCTGCAAGGCTTACTCAGAACTCCGGACAAGCTGGTTACAATCCATCTGGGACCTAGGGCCACAGGTTGGAAGTAGGACAACTTCAGGGAAAGAAATTACCCCTGCCTGGGCAACGTAGTAAGATCCTATCTCTCCCCCAACCCCTTGCCAAAAAAAAAAATAAGAAAGAAATACAAAACATTAGCTGGGCATGGTGGCATGCGCCTGTAGTTCCAGCTACTAGGAAGGCTGAGGTGGCAGAATCACCTGAGCCTGGGAAGTTGAGGCTGCAGTGAGCCATGATCATGCCTCTGTACTCCAGCCTGGGTGACAGAGCAAGACCCCATTTCAAACAACAAAAAATAGAAAAGAAATTTCCAAAACCCCCACACACCAGGAGCTGGCTATCTCCTGGGCTGAGTTTGGCCCCTTTCATCACTCCTCTGTCATTCATTCCTCACATCCACATCCCAGCACAGTGGATCTTGTGATGCCCAGGCTGAGTGAGATAAAGAAATCTGTTTGGCCAAACAGCTAATGGATTTCTTTGATTGCAGTGCTCATCAAACTCTTTTCTTTTTAACTTAAAAGTTGTAATATCTAAAGCAGCAACAAGATGACTTCTAGGGACTGAGTGTTTGTATCCCCCTAAATTCATAGGTTGGAGCCTAAATTCCCAATGTAATGGTATTTGGAGGTGAGGGAAGATTCTTTGGGAAGAATCAGGTCATGAGGATGGAGCTTTGTGAATAAGATTAGTGGCCTTCTCAAAAGAGACACAACAGAGATGATGTTTTTCTCTCTTCACCATATGAGGATGCAATGAGGAAACAGCCATCTGCAAGCCAGGAAGCCAGCCCTCACCAGACACCAGGTCTGCCCACATCTTGATCTTGGACTTCACAGCCTCCAGAACCGTGAGAAATGTATTTCTGTTATTTAAGTACTCCAGTCTATGTAATCTGTTACAGTATCCTGAACTGACTAAGCCAATGACTTCTTCAGTAATGACAAAATAATTTTGCCACATATTATTAATTAACAAACCCCTAATATATTGGATTGCAAACTTGAATTTTTTTATGCTAATAATGGCAAATACTTATGCATATGATTTATGTACCTTTCATTATACAAAATAATCTCTCATTAACAAAATAGCTTCAAGTAGCATCTACCACTCTCATTTTACTGATGCAGAGACAAAGGTCCAGAGTGCTCAGGTGAATTTTCTGACATCACACAGCCAGTCAATGGCAGAAGGGTGTCTGATCCTGAACTCTGTGTCCTTCACCAGGGACTGTGTCCACTTAGGGACCAATCAGATGCCACAGACCCTGGAAATCAGTATGTTTCATTAACATGTCTGCTAAGTGTGGTGCTGAGGGCCTGGGTAACGGGGGGTGATGGGTGGGGTGGCAGTTGTGACCTCATCTTGGGGTTTGGAAGGAGCCACACACCTGAATAGCACACAGTTACCGAAGCCTACCTGTTAGGTAAAGCCTTTGAGGTTCATTCAGACAGAGGAGCAGTAAGAAGGAGAAGGAATCTCACTGGAGCCCACCCTGCAGGCTGTTACTGGTTTCCTGAATTTCTTCCACCCCTGGGGATGAAGATTCAGAGAACAAGGTATGGTACCTCCATCTTGTTTGCTAACAGCCCGTAAGCTTCCAGGAAATATAAACACAGGAAATGACGATTAAGTACAGTGTGGCAGTTGCACAGGCTGGTGTGGAAGCATCCGTGGTGGGCACCGGACTCCACCTGTGTGATGGGATCTGGCCGGGAAAAGCTTCCTGGAGGGGCTGGGGCCTAATCAGAGTGTGAATTCCATGCACCACTAAGGGATGCTGTGAGGATGTGAAGTAGGAATAGGGTGTTCAGGCACAGAGCACGGGCCTTGAAAATGAACAAGTGACAAACCTCCTCATGTGAGGAACTCTGCATGAAGGGGTGTGGCTGGAGCATAAGAAATTGATGGGTTGGACTGGGAGGGAGGCTTGCACCGCACATGAGGCAGGGGCTGGGCGGACCACAGAGGGCCTAGCAAATACTTGTAAAGGAATCTGCATTTTGAACGTAGGGTTTTACCTTTTATTATTTTGCAGAGACAGGGTGCTATTGTCAGGTTTGTATTTTATATCGTGTGAGTGTGGAGTGTTGTGTGTGTAGATCTATATCTGTATCTATGTAATATCACTACTCTGGCAGTAGTGCCCTTACTCAAGTGACTTCACCAAGCCTTCAATTATTTTCTCTCTAAAATGGGAAAAACATGATGTGCCCTCCATATCTCAAAAGTGTTATAAGAATAAAGTGAGATAATTAATAAATAATTATTAAAGATTAAGAAAACGACAAACTTACATAAATAATTATATCTGGATTCTCTCAAGGCTGCATACAGAAAATCTCAGAACTTTAAAATATCCACTTCAAAAGAATAAATTGGGAGGGAGAGTATGAAGCATGGAGCGGAGAAAGCCACTTCCTGCAGCTGTCGCTGTTACTGTCTGGAAGGCCCTGCCCAGCAATGCACTCTGGTAATCGCTCGTCCTCGTCTCCCATGTTCTGGGCTAACTTTCTGATCCATCCAATAGCGGTAAGGAAGCAAAATACCAAGACCCTCAAACCCACCTTTCTTATTTCGCCAATGAATGTATGTTTCCAATTTTAGATAAAAGAATGACTTTCACAAAGCTCTTCCTGAATCTTAGAGAATAATAAATAGATAGGCAAAGAATATCTGATATTCAGATGAAATGGCAAGGTCTTTGTCTTACACGATGGGCACAGAAATGCCCAGTTGATTTCAGTTTCCCTCTTTCAATCTGCCCTCACCCTGGATGTATTTGACTCCAGCTAAAAGAAGGCAAGACCAGTGGAAGCAGCCTGCTGCCTAAGTACCTGCAGTGTGGGGCAGTCTGTGGAGGATAAAAGCCTCTTTCAGGAAGGAATGGTTTCCAACCACTGCACAATTACCTTTATTAGCATAACGTCCCATTGTGCATTTTGCAAAACACTTTCCCATTCCATCTCAGGAAGACTGCAGTGACAGAAATTGCTGCCACTGGGGGGAAGAGCGTGTCTGTAAAATTTAAACCATTGGGCATTTGTTCAAGACTCCTGGGAAATGATATCCCTTGATATATAATTCATAATAGCCTTAAAGCTTGCCCTACTTCTGACACATAGATGATATATTTTGGATAAGTCAGAGAGGGAGGAGGGAGAAAAATTACTTTCGAATGGCTCTGCTGTTCTTTGCCTTTTGAGTAAAGCCTGACAATATTTTGGACCACTCTTTTCCACCATAAGGGCTTCCCTTTAAGAGCTTTTTTATTTTATTTTTTATCTTTTAAATTGAAGAGGCAGCATATCATCCAGTTTCAGTTTTATCTTCTGTAACACCGGATAAAAGATGAGGCTGAATCCATCTGTTAGCACATACAGGCTGCAAACTGTGTGAATGCAGGCACACCCGCATGCATGCGCCTGCACGCACACACACACATCCTTGCAAAAAGGGGGAAAAATCCACACTTTTAAAAAATTTATCATCAGCAATCCTACCAATGCCGACTAGATAGCAGCACTTTTATCCTTTTATGGGCAGATTCAGGAGGAAGCCAGCCTCGCCCCCACAGAGGCTCTTCCCCCTGCACTGCCATAGGAATTGGGATGCTGGGACTGGCAGCAGGCCAGCCCCTCCCCCACAGCGCTAGGGTTCTAGCCTCCTGAAATCAGTGATGATACCATTGGGGGCCATAGCCTGCCATGCCCCAGCTGGCCCTGGCTGGGGACTGGGAGAACCACAAGGCATTGAGAGGGCTTCCATCTTCTGGCACAATTGGCCAAGCGACTAGGCTGGTTTTCTAGGGAAAATGGGCAGGCAGCCTGCCTAGATTTATGGAGGCAGAGTGGAGAGCCCCATCTGGTTGCTTGGCCTTTCCTCTGGTGCTGCTGGTTGGGTGGCACTGTGTATCGCCCTCTCTGGGCCTCCAGAGCTGCTTTTGCTCAAAATTACTGGTGATGCTGCAGGCACTGGATCAGATCAGGTGCAACAGAAGATCAGAGATTGGAGGCCAGAGATGACCTGGATGCGTCAGCTCTCACCTTTTTAGGTGGACACAGTGCAGGTAGAGAGTCCTGAAATGCACAGGGTTCTTTTGTTTCCTAAACACAGAAACTATGTTAATCACAGAGTTCCAAAAATAAGCAGCTTCATTTCATTAACGAGGTGAAGCTTGAGCACACATGGGCTTGGAAGAGGATGGGGTGGGGGTGGGGATGACAAGCACAAGGGACAGCCGAGGCCACTGACCTCAAAAGGCTGACGAGTTTCTCAGGGAGGGCCCAGGGACCCAGATCCACACCATGTGCCTATCCCTCTGGAGTGCTGAGCCCGTGAACTCTGATCCTACAGTGCCTCACATCCGCCCCCTCCTCTGCTCCCACTTCTGTTGCCCTAATTTAGGCCCTTATTATCTTTCTCCTGGACAGTTCTGCACACACAGCCAGATGACTCTTCCCAAAGCAGCACGGCTATTATTGCATCACTCTATGGCTCAAAAACCTTTAATGATTCCTCCACTGACTAAGAAATAAAGCCCAGCTTCTATTTTCTAAGGCCCTCTTCATTGAGTCCCTGGCCCAAATCCTAGCCTCATTCTCCGCTCTTCCTTCTCCTCCGTATGCCACGCCTTCAGCCCAGGGTCCCCTTTCCAGCCTTCCCACCTGCATGCCCTTACTCCTATATGCCCCTTTTTCTAAAATATTCTTCTTTCTCCTCCATTTGTTTAATTCTAAATCCTATCCAGCATTCAAGGCCGAATTTAAAGGCCACTTCAGCCATGGACTCAACCTTGACTCCCAGAGAAAATTTCTTTGTCCTCTGAACTCTCATAATTTTACTATCCCTCAATCCCTTTCTTTTGCTGTAACAGATTCTAGACACCTTGCTTTTCTCCTTAGGCTGTAAGACATCTGAGGGTAGAAAAATACCAAGTTTAACTTTGCATACTCATTCCATCTAGCACATGGGAGGTGCTCACCAATGTTGCATAAGCACACAAGTGAGCGTGCCTGCAGGATGGCAGACAGAAAAATGTTTTGCAGGAGATGCAGCAACATAAGCAGATCATGCCATGATGGCATGCAAAGGAGGCAGGCTGGGTGGGCTGGGGGTGAGAGCAGAGGACATGGTGATCTCCACGATGCTGAAGCCAATGGTCAACTCTCTCTTCATCTTTATTAAACCCATTAGCAATAATTGACACAATTGAGTTATCATCCCTTTTAGAAAGACTTTATTTACTTGATCTCTAGGAGGTCAGGGTCTCTTAATTTTCCTTCTAGTCAATGTGTGCTCCTTTTCAGTCTCTTTGGTTGCCTCTTTCTCTTTTTCTAAATTCTTAATATTGGCACTTCCCAGGACTTGGCCCTTCAGCCTCTCTACTTTATCAGGACTCACTCCTTTGGTGATCTTGCCTTAGTTTCACACCTTCAAATATCATCTCTATTTTGATAAATACCATATTTATATTTCCAGCTTTGACCTCTCCCTTGCCAGCAATAACCAGCAGTCTACTCAGAAGCTACACTCCAATGCCTAACTCAAACTCAGCGTGGCCCAAAACAGAACTCTTCCTCTTTCCTCCCAATCCTGCTCTACCCACATTATTTCTCATGTCAGCTAATGACAATTCCATCCTTCTAGTTGCTAGGACAAAAACAGTGAGTCATCTGAGCCTCCTCTTTATTTCACGCCCCAAATTCAATCTTTCAGAAAATTCTTTTGCCTTTACCTTGAAAATATATCCAGCGTCCCTGCATACCTTCCATACTAGTCCATCAAGAACACGCTGCCGCCAGGGTCCCCCAGTTCCACCCCTGACACCCTGTTGTTTTCTTGCCATAGAGTGGCCAGAGTGATGCCACTAAAATGTGAGTCCCACTGGGACCCTCCGCTAGAACACGCTCTCCAGCAGCACCCTTCATCAGACTCAGGGTGGACCCCCAGGACCTTGCCGACCTCATCCACAGCTACTCTTCTTCCTTTGTTCTATCAGGTCCATCACATTGGCCTCCTAGCTTGTCCTCAAATCTGTCAGTTCCACTGCCCTTTCTCTTTGCCTAGAATACATTTCTCCCAGATATATGTGTGCTCACTCCTTCACCTTTTAATAGTTTTTGCTCAAATGTCATTTTCTCAATGAGAACCATCCTGACCGCCCTTTTCAACTGCAATGGCCTTCCCTGCAACAGCCATAATCTCCTTGGTTCGGCTCCATTTTTCCCATTGACCTTTTGACCTTCTAATATACTAGAAGGCAATAAATATTCCTTTATTACCTTACCTTAAAGTTATTATTATTATTTATAATAGTATACTATATATAATAATATAATTATTACCTAAATAAGATAAATACATTACTTTAGTACTTTTTTCTTAATGTTATTACCATAATAAAATATTATTATTGTTACTTTAACATTATTAAAGTTATTATTTAGTATCTACATTTTTTCCTTAACTGATATGTCTTATCCTTACTGCCTAGAGCTATGCCTGGCATGAAGTAGGCATTCAATAAATATCTGTCAAATACAGGAATGAATCACTTTAGTCGTTCATCCTTGAACCGTAGCTTAAACAATGAATGGCATTGAGCCACAGAGAAAGGCAGCTGAAAGGCTCCTGTAGGCAGGGGGAGCTTGAGGAGCCAGGGCCTGGAGATACAGTCTTCTTCAATACTTCAAGATGGGACAGTGTTGCACAAGCCTGCCTAAATTAAAGGATGCCACTAGAGAAGCACTGCTGAGCCCAGACCTGCCATGGACAGTTTTGAGAGACTTCAATATGCAGCAATGCTTTTTACATAAACTTTTAAGACACACAGTCACGATGTAAATGAAACACACTAAAGTTGGTTAATAATTGTGTACACGTTCCCTCTTCAATTTTGTTTGCATTACACATATATTCACACCTTTAAAATGATTACAAAGATCATATCCCCAGTTCTATCTGTATTCGCCCACAATCAGACACTCTGCAGGCTTCCAGGGCCAGGCTCACATCAGTGTTGCCCACTGTTATGTTCCTAGAGCCCACCCAGACATAGTGTTTTAGAGCCTTTGTACAATGAATGAAGAGATGAATGAATGCCTTCTGAGCATCTCCTGCTAGGACAAGTTCCATGATCAAAGAATATATTTTGAGAAACAGCATTCCACTAGGCTTCACCTATGGGCAGAAAATGCATTAACCATCATTAGCCCCAGTGCCAAGCACAGTGCCTGCAGACATTCCGTAAGTATCTGATGACTGAAGATCAAGCTCATCTACCTGCAGGCCTCGGCATAATAAAGGCCACTCCTCAACTCTCTGTGCCAACATCTCAGGGCTCTCTACCCTGCTGCCAAGCCAGAGGTTCAGCTTCAACTCAGTCTGGAACTAGGTACCTCCCCTCTTTGAGCATCGGTTTCCTTATATAATAAAACGAAGCTGATATGCACCTTATATAGCTGCTGTGGAGTTTAAACGAGCTCCTGCAATGACACAGCTAGTGCAGTATTGGATATGTAACAGACATTTTAAAATGCAAAGTTAGAATTGAATGCCTGGTTTGACCCCAGGTAGAGAGCCGATGTGAGTGAATCACACATCCCAATTAGTTGCTGTGTCTGTCCCACCACACAGGGAGGTTAAGACTGAAACTCTTAAGATCAGTCCCTTTGGTGGATGGGCTGAGTCATGAAAACTTCAGTGCCTAGTCATACTGGAAGACTGCCCTTGTTGTGTTCCAGCCTCAGGTGACCATTTCTCCTCTGGACAGTCCTTGCCATGTCCACCCATGAGCAGGAGCCTATCACACTGTCCAGCTGGCATCTGTCACACTGTTGCTGGGGCTTAACTACTGTTGTCTGTCAAAGCTTCCTCTAAGCTTGTTTTCTTCCTAGATGTTTGCAAAGACACTTGTCATTACCAAATTCAGAAGCATGATTGGGGCTTCCGGGCTCTGATTAAGTCAGAAATTAACTGGGCTCTAGAAGTAACTTCCTTGGAGGCCACACTTAGATAACCACATGGAAGATGATTCCAGCATCACTGCGCATGCCTTCCTTCTTCTACCTTTGCGGGAGTCTTTAACATGCAAGGGGGTCAATTATTGCTAAGGGAAATAAGAAGAAAATAGAGCAGAAAAATAAAGACAGCCCTGCCCCACCAACCCCCCACACACGGAGCCACAACCACTCAGTCTCATAGCAGACGGCAGCTGATTGAATTTACCTCTTAAAGACAAGACTTATTAAGGAAACCGATTACCATTAAAATGAAAAAGTATAAACTTCTACTTTGATGTTGGTACAAATCAGGAAAGAAAGCCTTGGGACAGTGATAGCATTCTTTCATCTGAAAGTCATATTTCAATTGAACTTGCAGATGTTTCAGGGACAATCCATAGGCGAGCAGAAGTGATCCATGAGAATCAACGTTCTTTTCATTTTTTACAGTATAAAGGTATTTTCACAACAATTTCCAAAAGCCACAAATGACTTATGTTCAGCATTTGCTAGCCTTCAAATGAATTAACTCACCTATTCTTGGCTTGCATATTTATTCCACAAACATTTGCTAAGATAAGCAGGCAACGATCCTGGGCTAAAACAAAGGTATGGCATTTGGAACCAGAAGTTTGGCTTCAACTCAGTCTGGAACTAGGTACCTCCCCTCTTTGAGCATCAGCTTCCTTATATAATAAAAACGAAGCGGATATGCACCTTATATAGCCGCTGTGGAGTTTAAATGAGCTCCTGCAATGACACGGCTAGTGCAGTATCTGATATGTAATAGACATTTTAAAATGCGGAGTTAGAATTGAATGCCTGTGAAGTAAACACCACTGTATTACACGAGCCACATGTATTCTACCTTCAAGGTGATCACGTCATTGGAAAAGGAGATGGGATATTTCTACCTATGACTCTAATATAAGGTGGAAAGCAGTAAAAGCTCTACGATGTCACAAAGAAAATGCTTTGGAAGGTGAGACAAACCAGAGATCATTGACAGCTAGGTATCAGCAAATACTTTCTGGAAGAAAAGACATTTGAAGTAGGAGGATGCTACAGTTTATTTTAAAGGCTAATGATGGATGATTATTCATTTATACTTTAATACATAGAAAAGTATGACCTGATATGCCTGGTAATTTGGAGGGTATAAGAAAAGAAAGAGAACACGAAAAAGACCCTGTCCCCAGATGATTTATTATCTAATTGGGAAAAGATCATATGTGCTTATACACGCACACACCCACACAAGTCAGCTGTCCCTGACAGTTTGTGACAAATGCCCAATGAATAATTCAGAAATGAGGAGGCAGAAAAGGATCAGACAGGCAATGCAGTATGACCAGAACTGCACAGGCAGGTCCCAGGAGAAAAGGAGGTGGCTCTAGCTCTAGTCTTTCCCTCTCTGGGCCTCAGTATTCCCACCTATAAGATGGATGGCTTGATTTCAATCAGATTTTTCCAACCATGTAGCAAAGGTACACTTGTGGTCTAAGGAGACAGTTGGTAGAATCAAGATGTCTAGAGTTCATCCTCCCCCACCAGGCCACTACCCTGTGGCTACAAGCAGCTTCATCCATTTCTTCTGTGTGCTGTACAAATATGACCATTTTCCATGCAGCCATGACATAGCACATTTTGAAAATCCCTTATCAAGATTATCTTAAAGAATGCTGCCTGTTTAGTTGTCCTATGAGGCAGAGCTTTTGAAAATGGAGAGAACTTGTATAGGCAAAAGAAGTCTCAGGAATCTAGAGAAGCTGATCAGTGCAAGGAAAAATGGGGCTCTGGGGCAGGCAAGCTCAGGCCTCCCTGCAAGACCAGAGAAGCCACGTGCAGTGTGGGAGCCTCCTTGTTGCGACTTGACATTTTCTTTAATTGTACTTACATTCATAAAAAATGGTATTTGTGATGGTTAATTTTATGTATCAACTTGACTGGAGCATGGGGTACCCAGATATTTGGTTAAACATTATTCTGTTTGTTGCTGTGACGGTATCTGTGGAAGAAATTAACATTTAAATCAGTAGAAAGAGTAAAGTGGGTGGCACTCTTTAATATGGATGGGCCTCAACAGATCCCTTGAAGGCCTGAATAGAACAAAAGGTGAATTAAAGGGGGGGGATTTTCTCTCTTTGCTTCTGTGTCTTTAAGCTAGAAGATGAGTCCTCTCCTGCATTTGGATTCAGACTTGAACCAGACTTATACCATCAGCTCTCCTGGTTCTCAGCCCTTCTGACTTAGGCTGGAACTATATGATCAGCTCTCCTGGGTCTCCAGCTTGCCAGATGCAGATCTTGGGACATCTGAGCCCCTATAACCATGTTGGTTAATTACTTAAATAAATCTCTTTCTATCTGTAGCCATATCCGTATCCGTATCTATCTCCTATTGGTTCTATTTATCTGAAGAACCCAGATTAATGCATACCAGGTAACAGGGGATGTGTTAATTTGCTCAAGCAATGAAACCATATCTGGTACAATCTTCCTTCCAAAAAGATTTTTTACAGTCATTAATTGTGTTCATGCAAATTAGCGAGTTGAAATTTAGCTTTCCTGTATCATCTCAGTTGACTTGAAGCAAAGAAATAAACAAGTATATTCAAATACTAGATAATTAACAAATGTCTAAATTTGAAGCAGGTCTGGAGTATGCTCTGAAATCCAAAAGACCTTGTCTAAATTCTGGTTTTGCCATGTGTGAGCCACCTGATTGATTATACGCAAGAATGTAAGCTCCTCTTTCTCATCTGTACCAGCTGCTCTTGCAGAATTATTAAAAAGATTAGACCCAGCCCAGAGCTTAGCACACGATGTGTCCTCAGCAAGTGCCAGTTTCCTTTCTCCTTGATCAAAACCCATACTACAAGGCCCTGCAGGTCCAGTCTCCCTCTGAACCATATCACTGCTGTCTTCATTTACTCCTAGCCATACATACTGACCTCTTGCTTTTCTTTGAATTAGCAAAGCACACTCTCATCTTGGGCTCTCCCCACTTTCTTTCTCCTCTGCCTTGTACAGTCCACATTTTTCCTTCAGATTCTGGCATGGCTCACACAGCCCCCACAACCCCGCAGTTCAAACACTTCTTCCAGGTGTCTGCTAATCAGACTGCCTTCCCTGACCCACTCATATCAAGGTGAATGACAGTGTCCCTGTGAATGGCCTTTGTGCTTCCAATGAGCAATACTCTGAGAGGCTCCTGTTGGAGCCACCACTACAGTAGTTTGAGGCCCACGGCCCTGTCCAACCAGGATGCTCATCTCATCCCCCTGACCTCCCGGGCTGTAAACACTTTACATGTATCACCTCATTAAATCCTCACAGCACCCCTAAGAGAAAATGCTACTATTACTATCTTCATTCCATTAATCTGACTAATGAGACACAGAAAGGTTAAGTAATTTGCCTAAAGTCACACAGCTAGTGAGTGGAGAAGTGTCCCAGGTGGTTTTATCTATCTCAGAGAAACTCAGCCAGGGGGGTGGAGTCTCTGCCACACCCACTGCATAGCCTGGCCCTGCCCTCACATCTTGTTGCCTTGGTTCGGTTGTTTGTAAATTTAAGAGGCTACCATTGCTCCCAGGAAGACAGGGTAGGAACAACAATGACAACAGCAAAAAAAAAAAAAAAGAATGTAATGAATAGTAAGCATTTGGGACAGCCCCAAAGAAAGACACAACAATGGTCAAAAGCACTATGTCAATACTGTCCCTGTCAAGGCCACTGCCCATCAACAATGCTGGGGACCTTGAGTTAAGTCTGTGCCACTAGAGTTATTTGATGTGATGACACGAGTTTCATCAAAAGGGGAATTTCAGCAAAAGGCTTTGTGGATGTGATTACACTTGAATTTAAGAAATAAATTGATAAACCTGTTTATCTCTCTAGCATGCAGCTGAAAATTTGGCTTTGCTGTTTTCTAATCTTAAATAGACTTCAGAGACTTGGCTTATATTTTACTGTCTTGGGTTCCCAGATTATTGGAGCAGCTGTGATCTCATGAATTTACTCAGAACAACTAGTATGTACTGAATATCTACTATATATCAAGAAGAGGGTCTAGGCCTTGCTTTTAAAATGTAGGGGTGGGTGACACAAAATTTCCTCCATCATAGACCACTACATTCTAGTGTGATATTTCCCAATAAATATTGATACCAGACATAAGCTCCATTCTTAGTATCCAGTCAAATATTATTTTACTAAGAACATAATGTTCACACCGTGTTTAATAAGCTTACAATGTACTTGTTACACTGCATTATTTCCTCAATTGTAAAAGATTTTATAGTCAGCCTTTCATATTCACAGTTCCACATCCTTGGAATTCAACCGACCAGGTTGGAAAATACTCAGAAAAAAAAATAAAAAAATAACAACAATAAAGCATAATGAAAATTTAAAAAACAACATAGTATAACAACTATTCACTTAGCATTTACATTGTATTAGGTATTGTAATCTAGAGATTATTGAAAGTATATAGGAGGAGATACATAGGTTATATGCAAATACTATGTCATTTTATATAAGGGACTTGATCTTCTGCAGATTTTGATATCTTGGGAGAGGGATGGTCTCTCTCCCAGGGACGATTACAGTACAGAGGAAGGATGTACAGCACAGGGGATGGTTGCACAGTACAGGGGACGGTTGTACACTACAGGGGACAGTTGTACAGTACAGGGGATGGTTGTATAGTACAGGGCATGGTTATACAGTATGGGGGACAGTTGTACAGTACAGGGCATGGTTATACAGTATGGGGGACAGTTGTACAGTACAGGGCATGGCTGTACAGTACACAGGGCATGGCTGTACAGTACAGAGGACAGTTAGTTGTGTAATACAGGGCATGTTTATACAGTACAGTGGATGGTTGTACAGTACAGGGCATGGTTGTACAGTACAGGAGACAGTTGTACAGTACAGGGCATGATTGTACAGCACAGGGAACAGTTACAGTACAGGACACAGTTGTACAGTACAGGACACAGTTGTACAGTACAGGGGATGGCTATACAGCACAGGGCACGGTTGTACAGTACAGGGCATGGTTATACAGTACAGGGGACAGTTATACAGTACAGAGCACGGTTGTACAGTACCATCCTGCTGGTTGCCAGATGACTTGGATGTACCACTTCCCCTCCCTGGGAGGAGGTTACAATTGGTATAGGACTTGGACATTTGCCTTGTTTACCAAATGGAGTGAAAATAGAATAAAGAAAGCCACATCCCAGTAGAAGTTTCAACAAGAGTCTCAAGTTTCTGCCACCTTGCTCGATCGCTTCTGTCATGAGCATGACACATTCCAAGAAGCACACACCCCCTCAGCCCAGGTTCCAGAATGAGAAGAAATGTACACCAGTGCCACAGAAGCCAACCTGCAGCCCCTGACACGTGGCACAGCAAGACAGTCGTCGCCATCAGCCACTGAGATTTGGGGGTTATTTCTGACTGCAGCAAAAGTGACATACTCCACATTTTTCCAGATTAAATAATTTTATATTCACAGGTATTATGTTGGGGTCTGCTGAGACGAAATTATGTCAATTTTATGGATGACATCCCTAAGACGTAAGAGTGGTTAAGCAATGGCCCAGAAATCAACCAAAAAGAGGAGCAAAGCTATATACTCAGCTGAATGAGTATATAGTATAAAACAAGACTGACTCACTTCAATATAAAAATCTCTGCAAACTGCAGATCGATTAAAACACTAGCAAATCATAAAGGTTTCATTGGTCTCTGGGCCAGTTCCTGATATCAGGGATGATGCAACAACAGACCAAGAGGCCTACAATAGAACAAATGCAGAACCTTCTCCGTTAAGCTTCATGGGCTGGCAGCCCCAGCTCTCACACTCAGAGGCTCCACAAAGCAACCCTAAACATCTCAGAGAGACTGGATGCTCCTCTCTGGCCATGGAAAGGCCTTCTGAGCTCAACAGACAAGCTCTGTAGTGGCTCTGTGACAAGTATCTCAGAATGCCCATTACATGCCTGCAACCGGCACCGGGAATGGCAACAATCAGAGGGTGTGTTATTTCACCAGGAAATTCAAACAGAAAGACCGTGACCTTAAGGCAAGTCAAGGAGGAAGGTAGCAATTCAGGACAGAGGCTCACAGGCTTTGACATGAGTGACTAATTCAATTTTTTGCTCCTGTTGTTTTAAATTCAAACCTTATTGTTCTTTTTCTTTGCTTTATTATCTTCTTTCTCTCTTACTTTCACTTTAAAAAAACATTCCATTCAACGGGGGCGAGTGAGTCACCATAATCATTTATTTAGACGCATTTCAGGCTCGCTCTATGCTATCCGGCCCCACTTGCTGACATGTATGGAAGGCGTTCTGCAGCAGCTGATCTTTTTACCAGAAAGCCCAATTTTCAACAGCTATTTCTGGGGGGTCTGGGAGGGTTGGCACCTTGCATGTGGCTTTTCATGACAATTCACACCTTTGGTTTCCTACCCTGACCCAAGCTAGGCTGACTTCTAACACCTCCCACTCCTGTATACCCACAGATGCTGTTTTCAAGCCTCCTCGTACCTGGAGCAACAATCCTGGCCTTTGCCTTCTTATACTGTCATATCAACTACATTAAATTATCATCCTAGAAAAATTAGGTAAACATATACGTGTGCATGTTTGTAAAGCACCGCACTGCAGTGCAGAAGCCAAATACTAATATAAAATCAGGAAAAGTATTTCTGACAGCTGGAAAAAATCCCTAAACAGTTGCAGACAAACCTGGAGAAGTAAAGTTGATAAAAATTGATCTGTGAACAGACTCTATCCTTCATCCAAAACCTCTCACCAGGTAGCACCTTGTGAACATGGGTCCCGCACAGGCATGTGAGTCACGCCCTGCAATTTATACAGAGCTTTCAACTTGTTTTCAAAGCTTGTTGTCTTCAAAATATTCCTGAAAAGGAGGCAGGAAGGAAGATTAGCTCCACTGGAGGATGAGGAGATGAAGACCCAGGGAGGCTGTCCACTCACTTTGAGCAGGTCATTGGCAGACCAAGAATTAACTTTTTATTATTTTAATATCAGGTGCCGTGAATTTTTTTTTTAATTTCCCCATTTTAAAAACTTGTAATATGCAGTTGAATGCAGGAAATTCCAGTCATCTTATGTCAAGTACCTTCAGATAAGGTTCTTCAAGGAGGCTGCTTGGAATGGGTTCCATGAGGAAGGGGTTTATCTGTCAGAACAACCCCAGCACCTAAGCACAGTCAGTTCTCAAAAAACAGTTTTTGAATAAGGAAAAGGCAAGTCTTTGCTTTTTCCCTTTTTAATATTTTTAAGCAAACCTACTACCTGATCCAGCAGCTGAAAGCAATCTTCCCTCCCCAGCTCTCGTTAATGAACACTCCACAACTTTGTAACTATGGGGTCCATCCTTTGACACCCACACATACTTCTGGTTGGAAATCCATTTCTATCATTCCTTTGTGAAAATTCCCTAACATCTTCCCACAGCTTCAGGATGTCCTCTAGCTTCCGTCTTCAGTGAGCTCTTACCTACCCCCCTCACACTCTAACCCTATGAGCTACTTGTCCCACCTGCTCTAAGTTGCTACAAGTTGCTATAAGCCACTTTTTGTCCTGAGGAGCAGGATTCAGATGGGCAGAGGATACGAGGTGGGAGCTGGCAGCCTCCAGAGGTCCCTGAGCCTCACTGGGGCCAAATGCTTTTCTTAGCCATCCTCTCTCCCCTTGCCGTATACCCTATTATATTTGCTAGGATTTTTCCCTGCATTTGAAGAAATTCAAGCTCCTCTGAGATGAGCATTTTGCTCTGTAAAGGGAAAGGCCCTGCCAGGGGAGGTTCTTTTCCTTCTGGAAAGGTCTCCAGAGATGAAGTCTTCCGGGTCCCACAGACTCCCCCTGCTACCCCCTGCCACCCTCTGCGTCAGCAAAGTGGAGAGTGGAAAGTCTTGGCTGAAATCCTGACACACTTTGAGGGTTTCTCGAGAGCTTCCCTGTTCCAGCCTTCGGTCAGTTTTTATAAACACCAGTCCCCAGCAGGGATCGGATGAGCAGTTAATCCCCGGGGATTCTGAAGAAGCCCTCTTCCTCTGGACTCCAATTAACACTCTCCTCTCCACAGCTTTCACTTCCAGCTTTCTCCTGGCACCTTATCCTTTCCTTAGCAATCCTGCCCATGTGATGCTTGTCCAGCTGGTTAATGGGGATTTACAGCCAGCATTTCTTCAAAGTTCCAATGTTTATTTAAAAAAATCACAAATAATATTTAACTAGGACTCTTGGACTTAAAAAAATAAATAGGAGCAGAAGTCTTCATAAAAGCTGGGCTCTCTTTCTATCCCAGACCCTTTGCTATGTGCTGGGGATGTGAAGATTGAAGACAAGCCTGGGCCTGTCCTGCATGGTGCACAGGCCAGCATGAGAACAGGCCAGTGAACTGCAGACAGCAAAAACATCCTGGGTCAGAGGGAGTGCCAGGAGGGCCTTGAAATCACAGGCTGGCCTGTGATGTCTCCATGACCCCATGGCCTGCAACCGGTCACTTGTCCACTCAGCTCTGGCCCTGGCCTCCCTGCAGTTTCTTCATCTGGCCAGACACACTCCACTCTGGTTTGGCCCTCGCTGAGGCTCAGACTGGAACAGTTTCCCCCAATTATCCACAATGATTATTTTACGTCCTTCAGGCCTTCACTCAATCCTCACCTTCTCTGACAACCCTATTTAAAATAGCAACTCTTTCCCCAAACTTGCTGTCATCCACCCATCCTTCTGTATACCCATCTCTGCTTCATTTTCCTTCATGGAACTTACCACCATCTAACATGATATACATTTTACTTGTTTATATGTTTATGGTCCATCTTTCCCCAACAAAATATAAGCTCCATGGGTTAGGGAGTTTGTGTGTTTGGTTTACTGCTGAATCCCCAGAAACAGACCCAGAGAAGTGCACAACTCATTGTAGGTGCTCAATAAGTATCTGTTGAATAAGTAGATGGACAGATGGACGGATGAATTTGACGGGGACCTGGGGAAGGTTTATGGCGAATGTTACACCAGAAGCGAATCTCAAAGGGTCTGTCCAGGCAAAGAAAGGGCATTTTGAAAACAGGATGTAGCTCATGTGTGATCCTGCGTAAATCACATTACCATTTTCTCTTCTGTAATACGAAGCTAACGCATAGTATTTGCAAGTCTATGATGAGCCATGAAACTGAAAATGGACTTTGGGTGAGCTAAACTGAGCCAGTAGTGGGGCAGGCTGAAACAACATGGGAAGAGACAAGAGGAAGTTGCCTTTCTCCACAGCCAGCAGATTGAGTTATGACCAGCAGACAGATACTGGGGAAGCCCAGCCCTGTGAGGTGGGAGCTGGTGGGTCAGCTTGATCTCCTGGTTCAACAAGGAGTGTTTCTGTTCCAGGGCAAGGCAAAACCCCAAGCGCTCTATAAAACTGCAGCCTGTGAATCACTGATTCACCAAGCAAGCCAAAATGTTTGCATCTCTCCGAGTCTTGGTTTTGCTCTCTATAAAATAAAAAGCACAACTTCTTCTTCCATCGAATGACACATCTGGAAGTATCCAGAAAACTGTCTGGCACTTTGGGAATACATGGTCAAAGTTTGTTAAGTAGAAATACCATATACTATTTGCATGAAATTTACATTAAGGTAGGGCGTGCCATGGGACTCCATTCTGGAAAAAGGCAAAGAAATCAAGCTATGATCATATTTTCTGAGGCTTAAGAGACTCCAGTCATGGCAGGAAAAAGGATTTTATTTTCTTTAAAAAAAAATAAAATTGTGGCCTGGAAGCAGTGCGAGCTGTGTGGTATGGAAACGTGTAGAAGTTTTAGAGCCAGGCCGACTTCAACCAAATCCTGGTGCCCCATTTTCAGCCCTTTTCAGTCCTATGTCTTAAAGCAAATTTTAAAAAAAACCTTCTTAGCTTCATTGTCTTTATCTTTAAAAAAGAAATGAAAATATCACCTTAGAAGGTGTCTGTGGGATGAAAAAATGTATACAAAAATACTATCCAAATAGTTAGAATTAATAGGTGCTAAATGTATACTGAATAGCATAATTCACTGTTGTTAACATAATTAAAAATTTGGGAATACTATGAAAAATTAAGGGTCATGACTGGACTGGGCAAGCTATAAGTCACTGGTTAGAAAAAAATAACTCACATTCATATACCACAAATAGTGATCACACTGTAGCTATTTTAGTTTCTATGAGCTACTCAATCTATTTCCTGAATCTGAGGTTTAACAGATAAATTTACACAACCTATGACCTTACTAGCAGGTTGAGCATGTAGTGTGAAAGGGAGAAAGAGGGACGAGGCCTTGACACACAGATGTTTTAAAGGGAGAAAAAACAGGAGATATGCACTTAGCACTCCATCCACACCCGTACAAGCTCACTCGCTCGCCCCAAGTGATGAAAGAGGAAACCCCAATTCAGACCCATGGGGAAGAGGGCTCTTTGCTTCAGTAATTGCAGGCCAGAGCTGAACAATCTCCTCTTCCATCTTGAGAATGCCTCTGGGCTTGGGGTGTGGGGCCTAGTGTGTGGGCTTGCCTCACCAACCCAGGAATGGCTTTAGACTTCATCTAGTCAAACATACTTGTTAAAAATGGAGGAACTGAGGCTCAGGGAGGGGAGGAGGCTTACAACAAGTTAGGCAGAAGGTCAGTGGCAGAGCTAGGCTTATACCCAGGGGACTCCTTGGACAGTGCTCACTCCACTGCCCACATGGTCTTCCTGATCCTCCGCAGTTTGGTAAGCAAAACTGCAACAATATTTCACATTCTCTTCTGTTCGTTCTCCCTCACATCCAGTGTCTCAACTCTGCTAAGCCCTGCTTGGGCTTGACCCTAAAGAACTTGAACCTGAAGGAGTTGTAAATGTGCGGCAACTGGAGCACGGCCTGATCACGCAGGGGCTCAGACAGCTGCAGCACAGCTTCTCCTGCTCCCTCCCTTTCTTTTCTCTTTCATAATCTTTTTCCTACTTTCCCCAACTGACTATTACATAAAATTGAATGCATTCTTGGTCTTTTTTTTTTAAACCTGAATTGGGTTTTTCTTTCACTTATTTTTATTTCTAAAGTCGCATATGCAAATGATTTGGGTGTTTTAAAAATGTGTAGCATAAGATTTACAGGGTTCTATGTTTCTGAAGCAGCAGAATTGGATATTTCTCCCTAAGAAATGTAATTCAGTTGCTTTCTGCCAGTTAATGTCAGAATTGCCTTTCTTGGTGGTTACCGGTCCTTGAAAGACAAAAGGTCCCTTGGCTTGCAGGGGCATCTGAGTAGTCAGTTCCACCTGTGAGCTACACAAAGGCCAGGGCAGAGCCTTGTCCAGAGAGTGCCTGGCAGATTCCTGCCCTCTGCAGCTCTTCCTTGGAATGAAAAGGATTCCCCCAATGCACATGTACACGCTTACACATACACCTGTACACATCCACATATTCACCCCCACACACCCACTCACAAACTGCACACACACATACCCACACTCACACATACCTATACACACACAGCTATACACATCCACATATCCACACCCACACACCCACTCACAAGCCACACATAAACACACATATATTCCAACCACACACATCCATTCAAACCACACACATCATACTTATACACTCACAAGTCCAGGCCTCTCTAGTTTCTAAGGGCCAGCCATCCCCAGAGGCACCCTATTCTCCATGTGCGCTGATGTGAACCATATTTACAGCTCCCTAGTGGCTCCAATAGTCTATGCAAACCAAAGGCCTTCAGGATCCTGGAAGTTAAGGTCACTCCTCCGTGGTGGAAGCTACATGGCTATCACTGGTTGTGAGTGGGTGAGACCCTCCTCCAGAAGGACACAGTGGGTCCTCAGAGAGGAGGAGCTGCTGATTTTTAAACATCATCAGATTCTGAAAGAAATGTTAATCTTTTGATCTGGAAAATGTCAGAATTATGATGCATTAATAATAAACTCAAAAGACAAAGACATAAAGAAAGAGAAAACAGGAGAGAAATGCAGAGCAATTGCTGGAATGGCCGTTGCCATTAGGGCCACTGCCAATGGCCATGCTTGGTCAAGCAGCCAGTGAGACCTCGTGAGCGTCAGTGGCGTGAATGGCAGTCGAGTCACCAGGGCCAAAATACATCTGAGGCAACCAGCCAAAGGCACAGAAACACTAGAGCTGTGGAAGAAGTAAAGGAAGACCCGAGAGGGAACCCAGCAGAGAGCACAGGGAAACTTTCTACATCCCTCCAGAGGTCAGCCTGGGGCTGGCAGAAGTTACCAGTACAGCCAGACAGACAGCTCAGTGCTTCCCACTCTCCTCCTCTTTTGACGTCCTAGCCTCCATGTCTTAATTCTCAGAGAGACAAAGGAAGAAGTCATTTACTTAGAAACTCAGTTCCTAGGGGCCAAGGAAGAGAAGTGACAAGCTCAAGCTCACTTTACAACCAAAGAACAGACCCAAAATAAGAACCAAAATGTTCTCACGCTCGGCTGAGGCTTTTCACTTCCCCATGCTCACTCTTTCAGCCCTGGCTCTTCCTCACATGGGCAAAATGATGAGTAAGATTTAAAAATTCCCTCTGCCATCCCCCTCCAAGGCCAAAACCAAAACTTAATTATAAGCCACACTCAATAAAAAATTCCCAGCTTATTTTTACTTCTCAGGAAATTTTTTTTAAAATGACTTTGTCCCAGTGAAATTTGAGAGCCCATGTTTTTTGATGTTTTTTGTTGTTTTTTTTTTTTTGGCTGTTGTTTTGTTTTTGTGCCAAGCATGGTCATTTAATTCAGTTAATTGAGAAAATATAAAAATGGCCACTAATGCTTTTGATAAGCATGAGATGGGCCATGTCACCATACCCTCTAATATCCAAAGGTAGGATATTCACTTGTGTCATCTGGACTTTGCCGACACAGTCAGTTCTTTTAGGCTTTCTGCAAGATCCACAAAACCTTCTTTGAGACTCTTTGCTCAGATGTGCTTCCAAATTCAGAAATGTCTTTTAGAAAGGTAAAGAGTGCATAAGCCATGTATTACATACATGCCCAGCAGGGTCTGGGACACTTATCTTTCTGCTGAAAACCTCATTCATCTTGAGTGTAATACATAAAAGTTATAGAGTCTCTGGGCCAGCTTTTGCTTTCAAATGCATGATGAAATAAACTTCCCATTTTCAGAGCTTTTTGGATTTTGGACTTAAAAATAAGCGAATGTGTATGTGTCAAAAAATAGCTTATGACCCCATTTATTAATTCTGAAGGTATTCAAGGACCTGGATTTAAAACTGCAAGACTCCAGAAAAAAAATACATGTTTAAAAAATAAGAAAAAGACTTAGGATAAGGAGATTGATCATATAGTGCATGTACAGTGCTTGATGCTGATGAGAATCATTATCCTTGTTACAATCTAGGAAATAATGTGGCTAGGTTCACTTCAGGCATAAATTGAAAGCTCGAAAGCTAGAAACAGAAGTCTAGAGGGGTTGACTATGTGGGGCTTTTTCAGGGACAATTCAGGAATGTGTTGTCAGAGAAAGGACAAGTTTCACGTCATTTCCCACCCAGAGAAACAAATAAAGAGGAACCTAGAGGACGTAGCAAAAACTTTACAAACAAATTTTATTCAAAGGTCAGGCCAGAAGGAAGATGGATGTATATTTAATTCACATATTCCTCACAATATTCCTGAGACACAAACATTATTAACTTTAGTTCACAAACTGGAAAACTTAGCAAGCTTAAGGAATTTGCCCAAGGAAAGGGCCAAGATTCCATCCAACCCAGGTCTGTTTGCTTCCAAACACTTGCTCCAGAACTTCAAGGAGCAGATGTCACTTGTCTGGATTTCAGAGAGCTGTGGTAGCTGAGTTCTTGTCTCAGCCTTGGAAAAGCCACTGGTCTCAGTTTCTCTTTCTTCCTCTTTTCCTGTCTTTCCCTTTCTTTCCTTTCCTTTTTTTCTTTTCTTTTCCTTCCACCCTTCCTTTTCTCTTCCTTTTCTTTTCTCTTCATTCCATCCATCTACCTAGCTATCTAATCCCCCAGTTTCTGTGGAATAGAGGAGAAAGAGCAGGGGTGTTCATCAGCATGCATGCCTGTCACTCTGTAAGCTGAGAACATAGTTATCTTGTGTTCCTTCCCATGACTGCAAGCTGTACCAAGGAAGGGCCTGAGAAGTAAGTTGGATACCACCTGCCTCAACTGGGAGCGATCCACAGCTCAACAAGGCCATATACTGCACTCAGTGCAGGCTCAGCTCATTATTTCTGTGTGGCATCCTCCGTGGAGGTGGGCTGAGCAAAGGACACCCTGAAGGACGTCAGCCAAACACAGACACACCAGTCACAGGGAAGCACTTGAAACACAAGCTATATTTCATTCAGTTCTAAGGTATGGAGGCTCCTCTGGCTAGCAGAAACTCACCAGCTCTTTGAGATGAGTGTTCTACCCAAGACACATGCTAATTAACTCCATGCTCCTCACATATGCACAGCTCTTGTTTATAGTGTGGGTGATACAGAGAGATCAGGCTTTGAAGGCACACAGATGTGGTTTCAGATACCAGCTATGCCACTTTTCTAATGAGGTGACATTCTGCAAATTCCTTAACACCTCTGGACTTCCATTCGCCCATCCATAAAATGGGGATAATATCTGTTTCAAACGTTCTTCAGAAGATTGCTAAAAGTGGGTACAAAATGTTTATCATTGTCCTGCTGACAATACCCTACATGGCTCAGTAGGAACACAAGACTCAGGAGATCGACAGCTTGTCAAAGCCCAGGCTGCTTGTAAGTGGGCAGCGTGACTACAAGACCCCGGGTCTTCTTGGACTCTCCACTTGCTCTTGCCCCAACCACAGCATGAAGCTTCTCACATGAGGTGACTGGGAGCCAGCCTCATCACCGTGGCTGGAAAGGCCTGCATCTGGTTGCCAATGCGAATGAGAGAACTTGAAGAGTGTTGGGATAAGAGCTTGTCACTCATTGTTCCTCATGATCGAAAAATGATTGTGCATTTAATTTTGAAACTCAGGAATCATCAAACCAAATAATGATTTTTAAAAAGCAACATTAACTTAAAACAGAAGAGCACATTGCAGTAACCAAGGCATCTGTGAGGTCAACCTTCTTCTGCATTCACTGTGGTGAAGGCTCTGGAATATGGGAGTAAGCTGGTCCCTCTGTGCCACTCCTGTGTCTCTGCTTGTCTCTTCCCACTGTCATCAGCCTTTTATCAGGATGCTCAGCCAGAAAGTGGCTCCCTTTCTGGGAAGGAAAACAGGGCTTCTCGCCTCCTTGAGAGGATTCCTTGAAAACACACTTGGTTCTCTGCATCCCAGCTCTCTCTTGGCAACCCTGCTAACTAAAACGGCTAGGTTTTGCCTCTTCACCTGTCACTAGAGGAAATGAGTCCAAGAGCTTATTAGAATCATCAGGCTAGATGTGGAAAGGCACTTTCAAGTCATCAAATCCAGTCTTCCCATTTCACCAACAGTGAAACTGAAGCACAGAGATCTGCTCTTCCCTTACGAGGAAGTAAGGACTGCAGCTGACAGCTGAGCTTAGGTGGGCAGCCTTCC
The DNA here is from genome assembly GCF_000001405.40 of Homo sapiens. Classification (NCBI taxonomy): domain Eukaryota; kingdom Metazoa; phylum Chordata; class Mammalia; order Primates; family Hominidae; genus Homo; species Homo sapiens. The sequence continues at coordinate 16,660,328 of NC_000002.12, forward strand.
AGGACAAGCGTGTTTCTGTTTCGTGCTCCCTCTCTATGCAACATCAGGTGTAATTCAGGTGGTCCACAGAGAGCGCCCATGTGGAGGGAAATTGACTCTATTGAAGTAAGAGTCAAAACAATACTTCCCTCTTCCCTCAGCACACTGCACTTTGTAAAACACTGGCCAGGCTCCACTGGGCCATGTGTTTCCTCCCCTGATTCTCCCATGGAGGGAGAGCTACTTGAGGGCAGGGGTAATGTCATATTGATCACTGTATCCTAGCACAACACAGAGCAAGAACCCACCCCGTACATATTTGTCAAATGAATAATCTCATTTTTATGCTTGATCCATCGTAAAACTGCAATTAAACCCTTTGGGGCACTCCATTTCCCCAGTTTCATTTAAAAAATCTAATTATCTATGCCATACAGAATTTTTATTAGAAAGTGAAGTCATTAAATAAGCAGACACCAGACTCAGGCCCTGAGATAATTGCAAATAGAAACACATCTGTCTGCAGCGCTAAGCTGGACCTGGTAAACACACTGCTGGGAAACATGGCACCCATTCTCAGCACCTGGATTCGTGGGGGAAATGGGATTCTTAGGCCAGGGAAATTAGGCTTCCAAATTACCCAAGAAAGGCTAATGAGCAATTCTGTAACTGCTTTTCAATACCTCCAGCTTCCTAGGTGATAGCTGTACTGACAGACTGAATCCCAGCACTTTGGGAGGCCAAAGCGGAAGGACTGCTTGAGCCCAGGAGTTCAAGACCAGCCTGGGCAACATGGCGAAACCCCACCTCTACAAAAAGTGAAAAGATCTTGGTGGTGCACACCTGTGGTCCCAGCTACTCAGGAGGCTGGGGTGGGAGGATTACTTGAGCTGAGGAGGTTGAGGCTGCAGTGAGCCATGATGGCACCCCTGCACTGTAGCCTGGGTGACAGAGCAAGACCCTGTCTCAAAAAAAGAAAAAATAAATAAACTGAATCCAAGTCACCTTTGTATCTGAAGAGCCATCCATCCATATGTTCTGACCTTGTTTCTCCTGTCTCTGTATCCCTGGAAAGCAACTGTTATGCTTTCCATTCATAAGTTCAATCATAAAATCTTGGCCTGCTTAAAGGTTCAGTTTATTTCAGTGACAAATCAGCAATCCATTCTTGTGCAAAGGAAGCTACTTCTAGCATCATCAAACATTTTCCTTTAACTCAGATGTGTCAAACTCCTCTTCTATTCATCACTTATAGAAATAACATCCCAGCCAACTGCAGAAGCAATTCTTAAGGCTGTGGTGACAGCAAAATCCTAATAAACTCTCTAAATATTTACTAAGAGACTGAGTTACAACACTGACTGGTTCCACCCCTGTTAAAATCTGCCTGCATTCTCCAAACACAATTATTTTAGGTCACTGACACGCCAGCCAAGGAAACGACAATGCTGTGTACTACGGCACAAAGAGCAAGCAGAACCTAGCTTTAAATTCTGGTCCTGCCACTTCCTAGCTTCTAGACACGAGGCAAGGGACTTTACCTTTCCCCATTTTCTTAACTGTAAAATGGGGACAATAATACTAATGTCATAGAATTGTACTGATAATTGAGAAAAATGTATATTAATGTTTATAGTAACTTAAAAAAAAGAAGTTCAACATGCTCAGAATAAAAAATACGAGGCATTCATTTTAAAGTATTCTCACAGATAGAATATGTTTCTAAAACTCAGGGTGTTTGCTGCCACTTCAAATTTGTTCTCCTTTGAAAAAAAGAGTGTTGGTGATTCGTGCATTGTTGTGGTATTGTAGAACATAGCTTATCTAGTGAGCAATAATTTGAAAATTAACCAGCAGTGCTAGGAGCCTGAGCATGGGCAATTTTTAACCTTCTCAGATAATGAATGGATCTCCAAAGGCTAGAATTCATCCAAAGAGCTTTGTACCATGGTTTTAAGGGGACCCAGAGGTCCAGTAACTGAGAACGCTTTTCTAATCAATATAACTAAATAACAGCAAGTCTACTGTGAAGTGGGCACCATGCCAGACCCTTTAAATACATAAGATCATTTAAATCTTAGAAGGCAAGTATAATTACTGCAATTTCTCAGATGTAAGAATTGAGACCCAGAGAGGTTAGATGCACCTTCAACCACAGTTAAGACAAAGCAGTAGTGGAGTTTGAACTCATGCCTGACTCTTAAGACCACTTTCTTTCTAATCACCATGATGTCTTGTCAGGTAATTCATGCAGCTCCTGAGACAAGATTCTAACCATGATGAAGTTGGAACCGGAGACTTCTACGAGAGGATGAGTCAAAACTCAGTAAGAAAGGCAGTCCTGGCTCCCTGCCATGCTTCTCTCCCCTACCCTGCTCACAAGGGCTGATGTGTGGCTCTCCAACCATCACTCCATTGCTCCTCAAGTGGACAGTGGAAGGACAAATGTATTTCAGCCCCAAAGCACAAATCACCTGATTCAACCCTCATGGGTGACCTAGTCAAGTGGCCACCTCTGGGCCCTACATCAGCCTGCCCTTCCTTTTATCATACCACCTGTCTAACTGTATTATAAGGATCTTTTTCCATGACTAAATTTTTTTTTGAAAACAGAAATGCTGCTCATTTTTCGAACCCCTAGTTCCCAAAACTGTATTTGGTACAAAGCAGATACTCAATAAATGTAAGATACATAAATAAGTTAGAGGATTCAACATCAAGGCTGGGCAAAATGCCCCTGGAGGATGCCTCTAACCCTGAGATTTTATAGCTTAATTATGCCTAAATTAGTTTTCAATCTCTGGACAGTGGTCCAGGGCTGTCTTTAAGATTGAGATCTCCCAATAGAACTAGGACATTATGGGTCCTTCAGCCTTTCAAAGTGTTCAAAGCATTCCCGGTAGGCTATTCTATGCCATCCTAAAAGAACAAGAAAATGTGGCCAGTAGGATAGATGCTGTCAACCCCATTTTAAAGATGGAGAAACTGAGGCTATATGAGTGAACTGACTTTCTCAGGACCAACATTTGACACTGAGGCTGCTGATTCTCTGGTCTTTTTGTGCTACCATAATACGTGCTCAGCTTATTTTTAACAAACCTAGAGCATGGCAATGTGAAGGGACTGGCAGGGAATGGAAAAGAAGAGCGTGTACTGAAGAAAAAAACACCAGGGAAGGGAAGGAACAGCCTCACTGGAGAGGGTCACTGACAGCTGACAGTGGGTGCCCCTATGGCCCTGGGGAGCTATGAACTCCTTGCCCAGGGCTGGCTTGGGAGGGTCTACTTGACTCTGGGTCCCTGACTTATCTAGTTGCATCTAGGCCTGGGAGCAAATGCAAACTGAATTCTTCTTGGTGCTGAGTAAAAACAGGAAGTCACAAGTGGCTTTGCTCTGCTCTCAGCTGGGGTCCTCAACAGTTCAGGTCAAGGGTACACTTGGGACACTCCAGACAGCTTCCTGGCAGCTCCCTCCACAGTAGTCCAGCAGGGACAGGAAAAGTGGAGACACCTTCTAAAGAGCCTCCTATAGTGTGGGTTTAGGCAGCTGGACTAAGGAAGTCCCTGTGATCCCTCGGACAGGACCAGGGAGCCCAACAGAGATGCGTGTATGTCAGCTTCATCACTTTTCCATTCATTGAACCAAAACTGAGGGCTGACTGTGTGCTCAAATCAATGTGACCTTAGGGAAATAACTCACTTGCTCTGAGCTTAGTTTCCTCATCTGCAAAGTGGAAAGAGCCCCTGCCCCATGGGGCTATTGTGAAGATGAAAGGAAATAACACCAGTGAGGTCCTTTGCCACATTTGGTATCTATTTTTAGCACTGAGGCAGTATGCGCCCACTATGTGCCCAAGCCCGTGATGCTGCTGCTGCCCCCTTCCCAGAGCCAGAGCCCAGAGGCAGGAGGGAATGTGGGCAGGTCTGTTTCCACCTCGCTTTCCCACTCTCCCCTCACAGGAACCCAGGGCCAGCAGGAGGTGAAGTTCTGCCAGCCCCCAGCCTGGGCCCAGCGCCCATGTTTATGACTGTTTATTTCAGAGCAAGTAGAAAGGAGAAATTAGAGCCATGAAAGACAGGACAACGGACCAATAAAAACCAGCTCCCAGAAGAGTCAGAAGGAGGAAGACAGGCAAAACTGTCACCATAGCAACACAAGACAGTCAGAAGCACGCAGGAAAAACAGCCCCTGCTCTGCCTCCTGTCTCCACTGCAAAGCAAGCCCTCGAACCCCAACCAGAGATCAGTGAAAGCCGACAATGATCCACCCAAAGAACTCTGGTACCCAAGCCCAGACCTGGCTAGCAGCCACTCTCCTCCTGCTGCCCCAGCACAAGTCCCAGCCTTCCAGGGTCCCAGATCAGCATTCTGTGCCCTGGGGACTCGACACTGTGCAGATGGCCCAGGTCCCATCCAGAGGAGATAGTGACTGGTGACAGAGAGGAAAGTTTCTAACAGGGAGAAAAGGAGGGTCACAGAGCTTCAGGGGAGATCAGGGCCCTAAACTCCAGCCCCATGACCCTGTCTTGGGTTCCCTGGGGAGCAGGCGGGTAAACAAGGGTGTGGGAGAGGACATCAGGCCCTGGACACAGAAAGATTGCTCCATCAGTTCTGGACCTGGCACCCCCAAAACAGTGGCTGGGGGAATTCTGGGGATGCGTGGGGAAATAGCTTTGGAGGCCTTAAATGACAAAGATCTTGGCCCTGGTCTCTGGGGACACTGGCTAGCGAGTAGGAGCAGCTTGGAGGAGGACCCAGGGACGGGCTGGCCCATTTTGACAGAGAATGTCTCCTGGCAGACAAGACAGGTGTCTCCACCAAAAAGCATGGCTGGCCTGGGACCAGCATTTTGGGAAGTGGGTCAAATTGTTCCCAAAGCTCAGTATTGGAAAAGTGCCTTTTGCCAAACTGGGGTTCTGGGTTCTGGGGGAGGAGAGAGGGTGACGGCAAGGTGTGCTGGGTCCTAGGCACAGCAGCTTTCTGGCTGGCTAAGAACGTCTGTGGCAGGTGGCAACAGAAGGGTCCAGGTGTGCAGGGGCTGGGGAGGGGGCCATCCCTCCCTTTGGGGCTGTAGAGAGTACCCAGGACCCCGGGGCCTCGGGTGGTGGGAAGGGGAGTGTTAGGGGTCCCCTGCAAGAATGGAGCTTATGATACCTGGGGTGGGGGGTAAGTGAGTGAGGGACGAGGGAGGGTGGTCTGGGAAAGGAACACAATCAGGAGGCAGCCCTCTCAGAAAGAGGGCAACGGGGCACAAAGCCGGACCTCTGTCCGGCGATCGCTAGAGAAGGGCTCCCGGACGGTGTCCTCCGCTCTCCCTCCCTCCCAAAGGCTGCAGGGGCGTCCGGGAGGAGAAGGATGGCAGGGAGGCGCCCGCCCCGCCTCGCGGTGCCCCGCGGTGCCCCGTGCAGGCCGAGCCCCGCGCCCGCAGACCCCCGCCCGCGCCCCTGCCGCGCCCCCAGCCGCGCCGCGCTCACCGAGTCGCCGCCGCCCTGCTCTGCCGCCCGCTCCGCCGCCGCCGAGTACGCCTCTCCCGCGGCCGCCGCAGCCTGCGAGACGGCCTCGGAGCCCCGCCCCGCCCCTCCCCGTCCCTCCCCGCCCCGCCCCGCCCCCAGCCCGGCTCGCGGCAGCCGCCCCGCCCCGGCCCCGGGGGATCCCCACCCGCGCTGTCACCGGCCGCGTCCTCACCCTAGCCTGGACAACCCCATCTCTTTGCCCGGCTCTGCTCTCTGCTCCCAGGAGCTGGTGCGGACCCGCCCCAGCACGGTCGCCCCTGCCCCTTCTCAGCCTTGGCCACTTGGCCTTGCCTTCCCAGAGGAAGCCCGAACCAGACCTTTCTGTTTCTGCACACCAAATTCCTCCACACCCACGGTTGCCCTCCAAGAAAAAGAAATCCCCGCAATCTCTAGACGCATATTCACCTTCAAATTAATGCCCAGCCAAATCATCCCAATCCCTAGGCACACTCCAAATTACTTGAGATTCTGAACCCAGTCTCGCTCCCAGTCCCTTTCTGCCCACCCTATTAACAGATCTCCAGCCTTGGGGCCCGCAGTTATCCGATAGGACCACTGTAAAGTCTTCCCAAAGGCTCAATCCAAAACATGTAATTAACCTTAAAGAGTAAGTCTGCAAAAACACTTAAAAAATTCTATGATGCAAAAAGAAAGTAGTGGGTTACAGCGTCATTGACGTGATCATTGTTCTAAAACATCTGCCATGGAGGCTTTTTGCATTAGAGAGAGGGAGATTCAGGAAACCGGAGAGGACTCAGCAGTGCCAAACAGGTTGTGAGTCAGAGCTCCTGTTGAGGGGAGGGAGAGCTCCTGGGGACCCCGGCTTCGGGTGCTTCCTTTCCCAGTCCATCAGCCAGAACATCATGAAACATGTGTTAAATCCCCATAGTGTGCCAAGGTACGTGCCCGAAGCTGCATGGGTTGGGGCCCTGTGTGGGCTGGGATCAGAGGAGGCGGGAAGCATCAGGAGAAGGTGTTCAGGCCCCTCTCCTTTCTGAGATCCAGGGTGTTTCCCCTGGGAGGACTTGTTGCCCAAGCTTCCTTTGCACTCTGAAAGGCTCTCCTGAACTGCCCACAGAGGCTCTTGGTCTGTTTTTTGGCAAAAATTCACAGAGGGCAGGAAGGCACTGTCTAGTTAGAGTGAAATATTTTCCCACTTGGAAGGGGTCCTTAGGACCAGAAGAAACACTTTCCCGTTCTCTTTTTGAGTTTTCCCCATGCCCTAGACCAGCCTCTGTTGTCAATTCCTGCAAAGGTGTTTTTTTTGTTTTTGTTTTTTGAGACAGAGTCTCACTCTGTAGCTCAGGCTGGAGTGGAGTGGTGTGATCTCGGCTCACTGCAACCTCCATCCCCCGGGGTTCAAGCAATTCTCCTGCCTCAGCCTCCAGAGTAGCTGGGACTACAGGCGCCTGCCACCACATCCGGCTAATTTTTGTATTTTTAGTAGAGACGGGGTTTCACCATCTTGGTCAGGCTAGTCTTGAACTCTTGACCTCGTGATCCACCCACTTTGGCCTCCCAAAGTGCTGGGATTACAAGCGTGAACCACCGCAGCCGTCTGGCAAAGGTGTTTTATCTGTGAGTGGCTCTATGAGAAAAGCCTTCTTGCCATGAGGTAAACCATGTCTACTACACACACACACACACACACACACACACACACACACACATACACACACCCCTAAAATTTTCTGGCTTAATCTGTCCACCTTGAGTTTGGCCAGGTTTTGGGAAGAGTGAGGACTAATCAGCCACAAACACCATTCATCCCCATAAAACACTATCATTTCAGACCATGAGAGGACTTTTCACTTTACACCCATCTGTCTCTACTAATACAGCTCAAGTTTGTGAGTAGACTATTTGATGCATGAGATTTCACTTCCACACACTTAGAGATGGCTTCTGTTTCAATAATCGAGGGATACCTGCATGGTATTGCCCAGCCCATTATGAAATAATAGGGTTTTCTAATGATCAGTGTGGAATTTAATAATTGAATGTTTCCTAAGACAAAATTACCAGATGAAAGTCTTTTAACTTTATCAGTAATACTAATAACAAGTTTAAAGGTTATTATCATAAAGATTATAGTGAAATTAAACTGCCATTTAGGAGGCAGGTAAGTTGAGACTGAATTTCAGATGGTTGTCACTCACAATATGTGTGCTAAGATGAACCTTAATATCTTAATTAAAGTAAATGTATACTGAGCTGTGCTAGTTTCAAGGACATCTTTTTCATGTATTTCTTTTTTAAAAGAGATTGATGAAGCATGGACAAAGTGCCAGGCACTGTGCTAAGTAATGGAATAAGGACACAGTTCCCTGGTCTTGAGGAGGACACAGGCAGGCTGCCTGTGGAAAAAGACTAACAGAGATATTTGCTGTGTGGACCCAGGAAAAGAAAGAATTCTTTGTGATTGGGGGAAACTGAGAGCAGATTCTTGAAAAGCGCATTTTTAAGCTAAAATATGACGTGGGAAGTTAGACTTCAATAGGCAGGAAATGCGGACAAAGACACTCCAAGTAGAGAGACAAAGTGGAGGCCTGGGTGAAAAGTGGTCCGGGGTGGCCAGCGTACCAGGGGGATCCCACAACGTGGGACAGAGAGTGGAGAGCTAGAACAACAGCCTGAGAATCTGCACTTGATCCTGGGAGCTCCTGGGGACTGAGTGGCCTTAACCAGAGCCCCGAATAAGGAGCCTGACGATAGGTTAAGGTCCTTAGCAACAGTGAATGGAGAAAGAAGAGAAGGCAGCAGTGAAAATGGTAAGCCCCAGAAGGTTGATTCTATCCAGGGCTCCTCTCCACCCACTGAGACGTATCCAAGGGCATGTGAAACATTCTCTCTAAATCCCTCAGCAACTTCCCTTTACCACCTGACTCCCTTGTCTCTTCAAAGGATCCTTTCTGCTTCTGGACTTTTGCTGACATACCTACCTCTGCCATCTCAGCTACCAAAAATTATTTCTTCCGATGCTAGTGATGCGCCTTGGAGACAGTGTGATACTTTGGGCTCAAACTTCTGTCCTCTGAATATTTCTATAAAATTGACAGTCTGAGCCACTTACTCCTCTGACACATCACTTGTGACAGCTGTTTCTCAGGAGTGGCATGCAGGACTTTTCACATGCACAAGCTTCTCAAGGACAGGGACTTTTTTTTTTTTTTCCCGAGACACAGATGAAACCATAGATTTGAAGTCAAAGCCAAACATAAATCCTAATTCTGCCACTCACTGGATACTTTATCATTTGGTGTTTTTGTTTCCTCTTCCATAAAATTGGAGTAATAAAATCTACCTAAGAAGGGTGATGTGAAGGCTATTATAAACTGCTTTGTAGCTGTGAAAGAAAAAATATGTGAAGTGTTGTGTGTGTGTGTGTGTGTTTGTGGCCTCGTGGTGCCTTGAATTGGACTGAGCATGTAGGAAGTGCTCATTACAAACTGTGTTAAAGTGCTTATTAACCCACTGGCTAGTGGGTTAATTCATAGATAAGGACATGGCAGGGAGACGGAGGGATCCTGTGTCATGAGGCCCTGTAGTGCTCTCTGCTTACTGCTCTGCAAGGAATGAATCTTTATTTTTGCCCTCCAAGCCCACTAATCTCCAGCAGAAATTATATAATGTTTTCTCCCTGGCATTACTATAATGTCTTACAAAGGTGGTGGGTTTTCTTGCCAATTGCTGGCCGGGGCCCCTTTATGTAACTAGGGGTTTCTACGGAAACATGGACTAGGCTTCAGAGGGAGCATAATAGATTTGATTATGAACATTGAGCCAATTTTCACAGCTGACATGAAGCACACTTCCTTGTTGCAAAAATCACAGCCCAAACTGTGTAGAGAAACTTTGTAATGGCTGGAAACCCTTGCCTGTGGCTGAGTTGGAGCACACGACTTAAGCACTCTGACTTTACTTGCTTTTTAATCACTGAGCATGTCAGGCTCTTTCAGACCTTCCTTCCTCTGCACACGATTCGCCACTGTCTTGAATGACCTTTCCACTTGGTCCATTCTTTGAGTTTCTACTCATTATTTTGAAACCTGATTCAAAAGCAACCCCTCTATAATGACTCCTTCAACTCTCCAAGACCAAGTCGATTGATCTTTCCTGTGCGCTTCCAAAGAATAGCACTCACACGTCTACAGGAGCACTCACCAAGCTGTGATGATTGGATAAGTTTCTAAACAGTTGATTCTTTTTATGTGCAGTAGCTATATTCTATAAAGTCATCTTAAACACTGAATAAATGCTGAGCGATAGCTTCTTGGGGAAATGTAGGGTTAAGTTCCTGCAAGGCTTTGGTCACATATTTGTCAACTAATCAACACATAACCTTGCTTTATGTGTGTTTCTGTTTAAAGATACTTTATTTAATGTACAATATTGACTCATTAATATTGAACTCATGGTCAACAGCCCTATAACTCATGCCTGAACGAAGTTTATTTAACACATGTATTTTCTCTGTAAGGAACTTCACAGCCTTCTTGTGCTTAGAAACACTAGATGACACTTCAGCACTGTGCTCAGAGGTCTTTTTTTTTAAGATGGAGTCTCACTCTGTTGCCAGGCTGGAGTGCAGTGGTGTGATCTCGGCTCACTGCAATCTCTGCCTCCCAGGTTCAAGCGATTCTACTGCCTCAGGCTCCAGAGTAACTGGGACTACAGGTGTGCACCACCATGCCCAGCTAACTTTTTTCTATTTCTAGTAGAGACGCGGTTTCACCATGTTGGCCAGGATGGTCTCGATCTCTTGACGTTGTGATCCGCCCACCTCGGCGTCCCAAAGTGCTGGGATTACAGGCGTGCACCACCATGCCTTGCCCCCAGAGGTCATTTTAAATGGTGAAATCACTGTCAACAAGTACAAAAATGTGAAAGAAGTGTAGCACTAAATAGATCACAAAAAGGACACTGTATGAAAGCTGAAACAGGAAGGCAGAACACGGTCTTGTTGGACCTCAGCTTGGAACATGCATGTCTGGGTGCCTCAAGTGTTTCATGCTTGGTGCATGTCTAGAGATCACAAAATCAATAAGAGTATAGATTTTGGGGTTATGAATAAATTTTAACGAGTAGGCAATATCACAAATATAGAATCTTCTAAGAGTGAACAGCAACTCTATGTGCCTCCCAAATAGACTATGAGCTCTTTGAGGCCAGGATTTATGCTTTATTATTGGTCTTTGTATCTCTTCAACACCTGGAAGAGCACCTGATACATTAAAAAATTAATATTTAACAAATGCCAATTGACTGAGTGAATCATTTAATCTGGCCTTGCATTTCTTTAGGTTTTTACCAACAATTTATAAACTTACATTAATAAAGCAGAAAGAATGTTGTGGGTTCTTCCCCCATATGAATGTCAAAGACCTGACTTGGTTCCTGCCAGTTGTTTGACAAGAGCCCCCAATGCTGGATGTAAAGAGCATTCTATTTAGAGTAGATTTCTGATATGTATCAAATCTGGATAATACATATGTTGACTTCCAAGGTGGGGAAGAGTATAAACAGCACCATCCACCTTTCTCCCCCAAAAAGAGAAGTGGGGGATGAATTCTCAGGATCTGGAAAAACAGAGTCAAATGACAGCCAACAATGAAGAAAAATTACATAGCCCAGGAACTGTAAGGGTCGCTGGTGACACAGTGATAATAGGGAAGGAAAGTGGAGGCAGGGAAGTTAGAGGAACCATGTAGGAACTTGGCATTGTGGTCCAGATGTAAATCTGGGCCCCTCCTCACACCTAACAGCAGTTGACTTTGAGCAGGTTATTTAATTGCCCTCAGTCTTGTTTCTCACATTCATAAATAAAATGATTGTAACAGGACTTGCCACAAGGAGTTGTTTATGCAACTAATGTTTATTGAGGGCCTACTCTGTGCTAGATAGAAATATTACTAAGATCATGAATGTGCAGACAATTAATGAGTAGCTAGCCCAGTGCCTGATGTAACCCAGCGTATTAGTTGTTTTCACATTGCTACACAGAAATACCTGAGACTGGGTAATTTATAAAGAAAAGAGGTTTAACTGGCTCACAGTTCTGCAGGCTGTACAGGAAGCATGATGTTGGCCATCTGCCCAGCTTCTGGGGAGGCCTCAGCAAACTTACAACCATGGCTGAAGGTGAAAGGGAGGCAGGCATGTCTTACATGGACAGAGAAAAAGTAAGAGAGAAAGTGAAGGAGGTGTTACCCATTTTTAAAACATCCAGATCTCCTGAGAAGTTACTCACTCACTATCATGGGAGCAGCACAGAGGGGATGGGGCTAAACCATTCATGAGAGCCCTGCCCTCATGATCTAATCACCTCTCACCAGTCCCCACCTCCAACACTGGAGATTACAATTAGACATGAGATTTGGTGGGGACACAGATTCAAATCGTATTACCCAGCTACCAAGTTTAAAAAGTGATTATAGTTATTTTCACCCACAAATTTTTTTCTTTTCTTTCTGTCTCTTTTTTCTTTCTCTCTGATTTGCAGACTCTCAGCATGTTTCTTCTTTTTCTTATAAGTCCAAATCTTCTGATATTTTTTTGTAGGTCAGTTGATCTCATTCTTTGGCTGGCCAGGTAAACCCAAGAAATTGCTGACTGCATCTATTGTTGGCACCTTTGACAAAATGAGTCTGCCCCTTTAGGGGACTCAAACTCACCACTTTCAAAGCTCACAGTCTCCAAAATCACCGCCAATGAAGTAATGACACCTATATGGGAGCCTTTGAGCAGAGGCTTAGAGCATTTAACAGGCATATCCTAGTCATCTATTCAGCTACACAAACAGGTAAGTAGGGGTCACTTATGACTATACCCATTTATAGCCTGGAAATTAAGGCTTGATGTGACTTGTTCAAGTCATCAACTGAGTTACAGCCACAGCCAATAACTTAAAATACAGGTGTCATGACTCATAGTTTAGGACCAATTCTTGAATTATTTGGACAATCAATCTTCTTCTTTTCCTTTGCAAATACTTTCTTTGCTTTTCAGAAAATATTAGCAAGCAAGTGGGAAGGTTTGATTCAGACATAGGCCAGGTTTCTTTCGTATTATCCACTCTGTCTCTATCTCTCTTTCTTTCTCTCTTATTTGAAAAGTTTCAACAAGTGACTTCTGTTTCAAGTCCAGATCCACTGATACTTTTTCATAGGTCAGTTGATCCTAATCTTTGGCAGCTGAAAAATACAATTTCAGTAATAACACAGTGTTAAAATTATCATCAAACAGAATGGTTGACTCTGTAGAGTTTCTTCGTAAGTTATGCTAATATTATATTAATATTTTATGTTTAAATGCTCATTACTACATGCGACAGCCACATAAATGGCTATATTCATGGTTTGCAGCCTATTGTGTTTGCCTTTTAACCCTGTAACTACTTGAGAAATGCCTTAGAATAGTGATACTTGGAGGAAACTTGCTATCTTTAGAATTCATATTTATTATATCTTCTTTATTATCCCCCCTTCAGCCACTGCCCAGATCAACCCCTTATCAGTTTTCAGCACAGTTATTTCAACAGGTTTCTGGCTGATCTCCCTGCCTTCATATCTAGCCTATCTAATTCGCTGTCCATCCTGCAGCCCAAGTGACCTTTCCAAAAGACAACTATGATCACGGAATCCCTTTATTGAAACTCTTCAGTGGCTCCCCATTACACTAGACCAGAGTCTTACATTCTCTGCAGAACTCATATGGCCAAATTATAATCTGCTTTTACTTGTTCTTTCTGCTGCATTTCTCTCTGCTCTTTAACTTGAGATATTTTATCACTTCTATCTGCTTTTATACCTGCTATTTCCTCTTCCTAGAATGTATCTCACAGTGTTTTAATTCTGCCTATTACTTCCTGGGCTCCTGAAAATTATAAATTATATATACACGCAAAAACACACAATGTTTGTGTTCTCAATGTTTGACATCTAAATATCTAATATAAACTTAATTTAAACTTAATATTGACATCTAATCCAAACTTAATTCATATCCGCTGAGTTGATCTGAATTACACCGATCCTGAATCTTCAAGATCCAGAGATTAGAAAAATTGCCCTTTCAAATTATTTCTGGAAAAGTACAATCAAGCCCAGAAGGGCAATGTAATAACTTTTTCATAAATAGAGCTGTTTGGCTGCTTTTGTGTGTGTATGAATAAAGCAAAACTCCACACTGTTGTGTGATCTTAAAATAAAATCCACATTAGTGATTATTAATCAAATCCAACAAATAGTTCTTGGCTTCTGATGTTGAAACACTTCCTTTTCTCACATGCCAACACCTCTACATTTTCTTTGTTTTAATTATACTAAGCGTCCTTTTGTTCTTCCTGGGACATTTGCCTGGAGGCTGGGGCAAGCTCTAAATAATAGTCATCATCATTATAAAAAATAGTATTTACACAGTCTATTTTTAGAGCAGAAGACAAACCTACAGGCAAGCCCACTATGACCCTGCCAGAGCTGCAGTAGTTTCTTGAAGACAGTCTTGGGCTCTTGAATATTTCACCTGTCTCATTAGTGTCACTCATGTAGGATGGCAGCTGCTTCCTCTGATAAACTCCATCAAACTGCTTCCCATCTGTTAGTGGGAGAGAAAATGGAAAATTTTAGAAAATCTGGTGTTTTTTATGTTTATATATATAAATGCTGTTAATTTTCTGATTTCTATGTTTCATCTATACGGTGAATCCACTTAATGTGGGTTTTCTTCTAGAAAGGAAAAAGGAATATTAACTTTTACTATACATAGTTAATCATTTCCAGCTCTTAGAATCTCAGAGGAGAAGGGGCTTTAGACATAATCTAAACCTATTTATTCATTTGACAGACAGAGAAACTGAGGCCCAGAGAGGGAAGATGATTTCCCAAAGTCATAAGGCAAGTAAGTGGCAGAGCTGGGATTCAAAACCACAGCAATCATGTGCTGCATCCAGGCTGGTGTTTTTGGGTCTCCCTGATACTGAACATTCACCCCACCTTCTGATATGAACACCAAAGTTTGCAGTGTGTTGCCTATCTAGGATGCTCGTCTTCTGTTTGAAAATTATCAAGTTCCTCCACAATTTCTCATGGATTCCATTGGCTTCCATTAAGTCTTGTCTCCAAGAAGGATGAGTGTATATGGTGTAAGGCCCTGGCCAAATATGTGGACAAGAATCAGAAACTGCCCTTCTAAACAGGCAGAGTGATCTAATGGGAAGAGCTCGTAGTCTTCAGCCCTGGGTGGTGGGAACAGCTCTACTTTGAATTCCTTGTATGATTTTGAGTGGGTCAGCAAACTTCTCTTGTCTCAATATCTTTATTTGTTCACTCTGGATAATAAATGCCTGCCCCGTCAACCTCATAAGAATGTTGAAAAAATCATATAAAGTGACAGAAGTGAAAGGACTGCGAAAAGCAAAACAAAAAATCATTATTACACCTAGCAGAAGAAACACAGCAGAATATGTTGGTTTTGTTTATTGCCAAAGTGACACGCGTACTAATTTGATGCTCATTTCCTGCAGGTGGTCAAGGGTTTTTTTTTGTTTTGTTTTGTTTTGCTTTTATTTTTTTCCAACCAAGTGTCACTGATGTTTGGAATACATTTTATGTTTTTACATATTTAGGTTGAGTAGAATTGACCCAGAGGGAAAAAGGGAGAAAGTTAGAAATAACAACAAATGTACCCAGATGTGAGTTTACTCAGGACATTATGAATACTTCAGTTTGACTGAAGTAATGGGAGATTTAGAGAGTGGCCATTATAGATAAATTTTCTAACTTTCTAAGGAGATTCTACTAGTTATTGAAGGTGATGGGGGAGTGTGTCAGTAACTAAAGTGTGATTTCAGCATGCATCTATTTCTTTTTTATTTTTTGTCTTGATCCAAGCACTGATAATCTAATTCACACTAAGGAGTAATGACTGAGAGGTGCTTACCTCATTCTAAGGGATACATTGACAAACATTAATGTAACAAACATCTATGTTCTTGTCACCCAGAATATTAACATTTTGTTATTTGTGCTTCAATGTTTCCTCTTAGGTAATAAGATTAATGTTCAACTGAAAATTGAAAATCAGTGCCAAGTCATTTCGGGCTCTTCTCTTTTTAGGGGCATCGAGAGGACTACATTTCCCTGCCACCTTTGCAGGGTCATGTGATCAGTTCTGACCATTGGTTTGTGGGCAGTCGTAAGTCACTGTTGGGTTGGAAGCCTTAATTGGCAATGTGGGCAATGTGAGCAATGTGAGATGCTTCAACAACTTGTACCCCTCCTGTAGCATGTTGGAGTTGTTATAACCATACTTAACCCAACTGACACATCTTCCAGCCCCATTGCCATTCTTCTCCTTATGGACACAACAACTATCATAAATTTCTTGGGAATCTTTCCATTCACACTATCTGCACATTCCTTAAACAGCTATATACACTTAATATATTGCATGGTTTTAAAGTTGATGTAAATGCTATCATATAATATTATGGTTCTTTTGTTTCTTCAACTCAATAGTTTGGGTTTTTAGAATGTTCCTTCATGATTACTACATGATTCTGTAGACTATGTACATATTCAGTTTTACCAGATATTGACAAATTCCTCTTTAAAATGGTTCTACCATTTTATTGCTCACAGTAACAATGCATCAGCTTATTGATGTCTCCACGTATTTTCCAATATTTCTGTTGTCAAATTTTCTGGTATTTTTTATTTGTGAGATGTAATTTTATTGTTTTCATTGACATTTTCTTAATTACTAATGAAAGACTGAAAACTGAGCATCTTTTCATATGTTTACTGATTTTTCAGTTTTTCTTTTCTGAAAAATATTTAAACCTATCCTTTGTAATTATGGCTATTGTATCTTTTATAATTTATAATTGAATAGTTTATTATTGTTTATGAAAGTCAGATATTATTTTCTGAATATTAATTAATCACTTACTATATGTGTTGCTAATTTATCTAATCTGTGGCTTTCTTTTTCACTTTGTGGCATCTTTTATCATATAGAAGGGCTTAATTTTGTTAAAGCCAATTTAAATCATTTTATAATTTCGGGTTTTTTTGTTTGTTTCTTCTTTAAGGAAGCTTTTTCTCACCAAAAGTCAAAAACATATTTTTTCAATGTTTACATCTAATGTTAAAGTTTATTTTTCACTTTGATACGTATAAAATATATTTGGGAAAATAGTATAAGAAAGGGATCTAATTATTTTCTTTTAGAAAAAGCCATTTGTGCCAACACCATCTTTTCCATTTTGTTTTCTAATACCTCTTCTAATGTAAACCAAGTTCACATCTATCCCTGTTTGCATACTACGTTGTTCTGATTAATCTATTTTTATAATACATCTTCATCTCTGATATTTAATGTGTCAACTTTTTTTTCCTGATTTTTATACTTAATCTTAGCCAAAAGGCTGAGAAGCGATTTTTTCCTGATTTTTATACAAATTTATTGGCTTTCTTTGGCATTTTCTCTTTGATATGGACTTTGATGTATATATATATATATATATTCTAAAGTCTGAATATATAATATATATATATTCACATGCAGTCATACATATATATTAATGTGTGTGTATATATAGACACTTCACATGAATACATACTGGCTTTTTGATGAGAATGTTTTAGTATTTTTGCAATTAACATAGGGTGAACCAACCTAGTTATGATATCTTATAGTTCCTTCTATGAACATAGTATTAATATATATTCTCATTTATTGTTTTTCTTTTAAATAATAATTTTTAGTAATTTTGTTTGTAACAGTATTGCTTATAATCTTTAGATTTATTTTAGGTACTCTGTAATTTTTATTGCTATTGTGAATGGATCATTTTGATATTGTGAATAAGAGAGTTTTAATTAGTTATTGCCAACATGTAAGAAGTTATTGATTTATATATTGTGATTTTATTTGCAGCAATCCTGATGAAATCTTTTATTGATTTTCAATATTTGTCTTTTTATTCTGTATAAATCAGAAGTTTGCAAATTATGACATTTGGATCAAATGTAGCCCACAACCTGTTTTTATAAATAAAGTTATATTGGAGCATAGCTAAATTAATTCACTTGTGTATGATCTATGGCTGTTTTTATGCTTCAGTGGCAGAGCTGAGTAGTTGTGATAGAGAATGTATGTCCTAAAAAGTCAAACATATTTACTTCTGGTTTTTCACAGATACAGTTTTTCAACCCTTGATATAGACCGTCACATTAATTACAGTTAAGTGTAGCTGTTACTTTGTCTTTCAAATTCTTATTCCTCTTAATTTATTTTTCTTATCTTATTACACAGGCTTAGATCTTCAGTACAGTGTTGAACAATGGTGCATATATCAATCACCCTTGCCTCATTTCTGAGTTTACTCAGAATATCTTTAGAATTTTACCTTTAGTTGTGGTAGTTCAATAAGTTTTTGGTAGCCACTCTTTATAAAATTAAGAACATCTTCTTTTATTTTGCGTTTTCTAAGGGTCCTTATCACAGATGATGGCAAATTTTATCTAACATTTTCTCTATATTTCCTATGGCTTTTCTCCTTTAATTTGTTTAATGTGATAAAATATACTGGTAGCATTTCTGCTGCTGAATTATTCTTGAAATCCTAAGAGAAACCCTAATTGAAGCTACTGATTTGAATTACTTTTACTTTTATTTAAGTTTTTGCAATCTCCAGGATTATTTATTGTTTCTCTTAATTGTTCTTCTGTGTCATCCATTTTCTTATATGGTTTATAATTTTGGCTATGAGGATATTTTCTATTAGAAACCCATGTGATTTGCTTTGGGTGACAGTTTCTCATTTGCATCACTGATGCTTTATGAGCTTAAGTGTACTGGACTAATCTTTATGTTAATTTATTTCTTTGGTGTCCTGGAAAACTCAACTAGCTTAGATTTGGAACCCTTCCTGTGTTTTGATTTTTTGCAGGTGTGTTTATTTTTATTCCCTGACCTAGGTGGATAAGAAGCTTCATTACAGCTTTCTTGGGTTAGATGGACAGTGATTTTCTACTTCTTTCCATTTTTTTTTTCTTTTTGAGACAGAGTCTCACTCTGTCTGTCACCCAGGCTGGAGTACAGTGGCACAATCTTGACTCACTGCAACCTCTGTCTCCTCGGTTCAGGTAATTCTCCTGCCTCAGCCTTCCGAGTAGCTGTGATTACAGGCGCATACCACCATACTCAGCTATTTTTTTTTTTAATTAGAGACGAGGTTTCACCATGTTGGAAGTCTGGTCTCTAACTCCTGGCCTTGAGTGATCCACTCACCTCAGCCTCCCAAAGTGCTGGGATTACAGGTGTGAGTCACTGCGCCCAGCTGGTGGGCAGTGATTTTTTTACAAACAACAATACCAGTGGCTGCAGAATCAATTCAGATCACTCAGTTTCAGCTGCCCACACACATGGGGCTCCTGGCTGAATTCCCCTCTCTGGGTGGCATTAATCCTTAGTGCCAGCTGTTAAGGCCTGTACCAGGTTCCAATTTCCCTGTAACACTTTTCAGTTTTAAATCTCACTTACCATTTTGAGATCCCCTCTAATTTTTTTCTCAATGTGGAATTTTCCTTTCTTGGTCTCAAATTAGGCTATGGA
Source organism: Homo sapiens (assembly GCF_000001405.40). NCBI lineage: Eukaryota > Metazoa > Chordata > Mammalia > Primates > Hominidae > Homo > Homo sapiens. Next base: position 16,679,439 of record NC_000002.12, read on the forward strand.
TTTACAATTCCTAGCTGATTACTTTTTCCATTTTTAAGACGGCATGTCTACAGTGTTTTGAGTAAGGGGAGTGTTTTCCACATCAGCTCAGTTTGAATTACTTTTCAGAGGACATAAGGACGTATATATTCTGAAAGGAACACACAAAACCTTAGTAGAAAGGAAGATTCTTCTGCAGGCAGGCCAGACACTTTGTAGGTAAGTGCACAGGAAACACGGGGGTGAAGCTGGCTTATTTTTGACTCTCAAATAATTCCACATATTTAGCAAAGTGCCAACCCTTCCTGGTTACACAACTAACCCTTCCACTGCATCTTCTCTCCTTTCACTTCTGAAGTCACTAAAGGCTGTGACAAACTCTCCAGGATCAGCCCAGCTAATGCCTGCTTTGAGTGGTGCCCAGTTTGATTCCTAGGTACTGCCTCAGCCGGTAGTGTGTGCTTTGTGAAGTTCTCTGTCCATCCCTACAGGAAAACAGGATGTCTCCTCTTTGAGCTGTGGCTACAATTATTGTCCCAAATGTTCATGTCTTTAGAATTGATGTCCTCTTTTTCTCAATCTAGGTCAGTGCTTGGGCTTAATGACTTTAGCTAGAATATGCGATTGAAGTTAAAGACAGCTAAAGCTGTAAAAGACTGTTTTTCTGTCTCAAAATTTATAAACTTGAAAAAAGTTATCACTCTACTTTGACAACTTCAGGCTTTTAAGGATTTGGATTCCTTAGTCCACATTTAAAAAATTCGTTTAAGAAAATTATTCATATCCTGAGGTTACTAAGTGATGAAAATAACACTATATGAGTTCATTAGTCTCTAATATGATTTTTCCTCTCGTTTTATTACCCAATAAAGGAAGTTTTTTCAAATGATGTATTTGGGAGGCAGAAGAGAAGGAGTTATGATTGGTTTCTTCATGGCTATTATCAACCATAAGAGAAAAATTCAGCTAGTTTGCAATTTTCAAAGAAGTAGAGAGATTACTTTGTTAATGTCTATTCAGTTCATTTTCTATTTGAGGAATTGAAAATTTGAGTGTGGTTGCAGAGAAATGACTGAAGAAAGCTTAAATTGCAATATAGTGGCATTGCTTCATCTGCAGAGTTTCTTTGAAGTTGCTTGTAGTGAACGTGGGAATGTGAGTAGGAACAGTAGCCTTGCTTCCTGCAGTTGCACACTTATCCTAAATGAAGGCTTTTGGTAAAAATCACTATTATCATCAAAAAAGCATTTATGGTCTGTACATAGTTCTTTACAAAGGCTTAAAAAAGGCTCAATTAGAGATTATGCATGAATTTGTTGATGTTATTTAAGATAGACAAGAGTGATCATGTTAATCAGAGGACATACAGACACCTGAATAGGCAAGTAATTCACGAAAGAATTGTTGTATTAAAATTCTATAGGCCAAGGGGACATATTTGGGAAAAAAATCAGCACTGGAATGGGAGTCAGGAGACCTGGGTTTCAGTCCTGCTTTGATAGCACTCAGCCGAAGGAACTTGGGACTCAGCAACCTCCATGGGCTTCACTTTCCTCATACGACGTTAGACACAATTAGGAAGTCAGAAGGCAGTCGCTGAAGAAAAATTCCAGTGTGGTTTCTTTACATATGGGCAATAAAACAAACATGAGTCCCTGCCTTCCAGAAGCTCTGTTTGAGAAAAACAAGCCCATGGAAATGGTAGAAAGACTTCTGGTCAACTTTGCTAAACTGCTGCAGAATTAAGCAGAAGTTGAAGACAGGTTATCAGATATGGCTTCCAAAGGGAGGTACAGAAAAATGTATCTAGAAAGAAAGGCTGAATATGAACCGTAGAAAAAGTAATCCAGGTTGGATGATGGCATGTATAAAAGCCTGGGAGGCACTGACCCTGAGGAAGAGAAGTTTCCAGAAACCCATGAGAGTAGTTGTGCAAAGTCCCCTGTGGCCCCAGAGGACAGCAATAAGACTAGAGGTGGACACTACGGGGGGCCAGAGCCCAGCTAGACCCAAGGGAGACTGCACATGGCGTGCTCTTTGACTGGAAGGCAGTGTAGCTTTTTAAACCCTGAACTTGCCCTGACATGTCTTTGTAGCTTTCTGGCCCTGTTTTATTCTTTTTTTTTTTTTTTTTAATTATTATTATACTTCAAGTTTTAGGGTACATGTGCACCATGTGCAGGTTTGTTACATATGTATACGTGTGCCATATTGGTGTGCTGCACCCATTAACTAGTCATTTAGCATTAGGTATATCTCCTAATGCAATCTCTCCCCCCTCCCCCCACCCCACAACAGCCCCCAGTGTGTGATGTTCCCCTTCCTGTGTCCATGTGTTCTCGTTATTCATTTCCCACCTATGACTGAGAACATGTGGTGTTTGATTTTTTGTCCTTGCGATAGTTTGCTGAGAATGATGGTTTCCAGCTTCATCCATGTCCCTACAAAGAACATGAACTCATCATTTTTTATGGCTGCATAGTATTCCATGGTGTATATGTGCCACATTTTCTTAATCCAGTCTATCATTGTTGGACATTTGGGTTGGTTCCAAGTCTTTGCTATTGTGAGTAGTACTGCAATAAACATACGTGTGCATGTGTCTTTATAGCAGCATGATTTATAATCCTTTGGGTATATACCCAGTAATGGGATGGCTGGGTCAAATGGTATTTCTAGTTCTAGATCCCTGAGGAATCACCACACTGACTTCCACAATGATTGAACTTGTTTACAGTCCCACAAACAGTGTGAAAGTGTTCCTATTTCTCCACATCCTCTCCAGCACCTGTTGTTTCCTGACTTTTTAATGATCGCTATTCTAACTGGTGTGAGATGGTATCTCATTGTGGTTTTGATTTGCATTTCTTTGATGGACTGGCCCTGTTTCATTCTTGCACCATGATAGATTTGTATTCCGAGAACTTTACAAGGCCCTTTTTGGTTTTCTCTGATTTTGAGGAAAACTTTCTGTTAGAGCTACACAAATTGCTACACAATAGAGCTACAAAATAGAGCTACACAAATTTTGTTAGTGCCACACACTAACTACACAAATAGTGTGGCAGGGTGTCTGCTGTCACTGGACACACTCAAGCAGGGTTTCTTGGCAGCCTTGCAATGCTGTAGAAGGAGATAATTTCTACGCTGGGTCAGCTCCTTTCATGTCAAGGTTCTGTGGTTTTTTTAGTAAGCGGCAGAAAGAGTGGGCAGGTTGAGGAGGGCTGGCACAGAAAGGATCATCTTGAATGCAGGTCTGGAAATACACTGTTGGCAGCAGCACAAGGATCCAAGAAGTCAAAGGTATTGGGGAGAAAGCTGCAGCTGCCTGAGCTAGTAAGGATGAGGGAAGGCGGATCCTGGTGAGTCTAGGGTGGAAGAGCAGAGCCAACTGGCTGAGAACTCACTTATACAGGGAAAAGGAGAGGATGACGGGGCCATTCTGGGAATGGGAGGAGAGATTCATGTGGGCGAACACAACACAAGGAAGATGAACACTTCTGTCTTTGCCAAGTTCACTGGGCGGCTGGATGGAACTTCTGGTTTATGATTCAATTTCACACATCTTTGCAGAAGCTGTAAAAGCTGTTCAGGGCATCACTGTGAGAGCAAAGACAAAACCCGCCCAGTCCTGACACACAGTGCTCAGTCTTAGAAGGGGAGATGGCCCATATACTCCGAGCCAGAACACAAGGCAGTCGGGGACCAGGCCCCAAGATCCCAAAGCAGTCACCCAGTCCAAGCCCGTACAGAAGGGAAAAGCAGGATATTTTGATGCGGCCAACTTGGTACAGTCCTTAGACCTGGAAGCCCCAAATTCAGCACCTTGATTCTGATGCCAACCCTCAAAGTTTCCCTACAGGCTCAGTTTGTTCTGCCACTACTTGGTAAGGAAAACAACTTAAATTTTAATGGTTTTCAAAATAGCTGTTGAAGCAACCAATTAATATTCTCCAAAATCTCAAGAATTGCTTTGTAATCCTCATGACAAAATACTACAGACCAGTAAAGAAATGAACATAGTTCTATGGGGGCACAGAAGAGAGACAGGATTGGGAGTGGAAGGGTTTAAGCAGAGTGAGCATGCACAGTATTAGCTCATGTAGACTTGTTTTGATAATAATTCAGAAGAAGTGTCATGGAAACAGAGCACTGAGCTAAGAGTCTGCAGTACCACCAGCAGCATCCGTGCTATTGCTGGTTGATCCTGATATGTGAATATAAATATATCCCACTCCACTGGGCACACTCATTGGCACAGGGGACTTCTGAAGAAACCCCCTTCTCCCTGATTCTCCTAGCACAGGGCCAGGCACTCAGCAGAAAACAACCAATGGGGGTTTCTTGAGTCATTTTAATAATGAAACTGGCTTTATTACGAGATTTCTTCTCCCCTTCACAGGCACCTGTTGCTGAGATCCCAGCCCATGCTGGCCTGAAGCTTGATACCTGGAAAGAGAGAAAGCTGAGAAGCAAACAAGACCAGAGGCCACTGCTAGGATTCGCAAAAATGGCCCAGCCAGGCTGCTTCCTCAACTCCTAGCAGTGCCTCTTCCACACAAAGGCCATTTTTGTGTCACTTGTAGAGAGCCCCTTCTCTTTGTATCTGCTCCCTAGTTCTTATCTGATCCCATGCCTTTGGCAGACGGGTGATCCAGTTTCTCTTCATCTCCACTTTCAGCTCTTATTCTTTGTGTCCACTGAGGCTCAGCCCTGGATACCCAGAGTCCATGAACTTAGAACAAAGAGAGGAAGAAAACGAGCTTCAGAGAAGCATTGAGACAGGTGGGAGCAGGAGGAGGCCCCTGCCACAAGCATGAGAACAATTTTCTAATTAGGAAGCTGTAGCTCATTTTCAGAGAGACTCTGAATTTGGAAGAAATGATCCTTGGAAAGGGATTGGGTAGATTAAAGGAATAAATGAAAAATAATATTTGAAGGTAGGTCAGGATAGATCATAGAGTCAGTTAGATATCAGGTTAAATCAATTCTTGGGATTGTATTCCAGTTTTCTTCTCTTCCTATTCATCTTTCTCCTCACTACAATGGATTGGAAGGCTACGCAGAGGAAGGCAAAAAGCCAACTCTCACAACAACTTGGATTTGCAGAGAAAATGGTAGTTGTTTTTAAAAATTTGTGTATAATCAAATGGCCTTCTCAAAAATCTCTCTATGCTGGTTAGCCAGAATGCAATAAAACATTCACTCACACACCAAACACACACACACACACACGCACACACACTCACATCAAATAAAACAAAAACTACTAAAATCTCAATTATTTCAGTCTGGTATAGAGTTTAGTCTCATATTAAAACTGAAGAACTCTCTCAAGGCATTATTCAGGCTCAGAATTGATACAAAGTGTTTCATTGGCTGCACACAGTGGCGCATGCCTGTAGTCCCAGCTACTCGGGATGCTGGGGTGGGAGGATTGCTTGAGTCCAGGAAGCTGAGCCTGCAGTGAGCCGTGTTCGTGCCACTGCACTCCCACCTGGGCAACAGAGCGAAATGCTGTCTCAAAAAAAATTGTTTCATTATTTAGGGGGCCCCTTCCCCCACAACCCCACTCCTTTGCCTAAGATAGAGTCTGAGTATATGGGAAGGGAAGTTAAAATGGCCTCCTGGCCTTGGAAAGGCAGAGGACCCTGTGATTCTTTGGATCCTCAGAATTGCACCAGGTTGCACATTTTGTTGTTTACATGGCTACCTGGCTGCAGGGAACTCTGGTGATCATCATGTTGCAGCTATTACTGATGGACTGTCCACATACCTTTGGCTTCAGCAATTCTCCCTAGGGGGAAAAAGTCACTCATCTCTGCAGATTTAGCCTCCCTCAGCTCTCACAGGTAGCAGACCCATGCATCTCCGCCTTCCTCTGTCAAGGCCCCATCCCGTTGCCCCTCTCACCAAGTTCTTTCTAAGATTTATTTTTTTCTATAATAAGTGCTGGAATCTGAAGCCATTTCCCCAGAATGGAGAACAGCCTGGAAAAGTTGCAATGGGTTGAACATTTCTTCTCCCTGTGTGTCAGAGGCTCCTTATTTCTGACTGCAGTAAATCTTAGGGGTAGAGAAGAATGTTTTCCTCTGCACTTTGGGAAAGATCTAAGAATATAGCTATCCAAATTTGGTTCTAAATATGCCAGTGTGAAAAAAAAAATGCACTCAGTAAATTTCTCTGAAAACAATAGTCTGGCTTGGGGATTATTGTCTTGCTACATAATTCCCTTCCTTCCTTCCTTCCTTCCTTCCTTCCTTCCTTCCTTCCTTCCTGCCTTTTCTTTCTTTCTTTCTTTCTTTCTTTCTTTCTTTCTTTCTTTCTTTCTTTCTTTCTTTCTTTCTTCTTTCTTTCTTTTCTTCTTTCTTTCTGTATGTCAAAACCCTGTTCTTCAACCTGGCCACACAAACACACACACCACACAAATCTCTGGAGCATATTAAAGATCTAGTGCTTGGAGAGGCCAAAGAAAAAGCACATTAGTAACATCCAAAATCTGACTTTTTCCAATTCCTTGTGCCTGGCACCATATTAAACTGGTCTCGAGTCTCATCGCATCCCTGTAATATGCAAGAAAGACGTTATGTCCATCTTGCTGGGCTGAAAGGGCTAGGGTAACACCAGAAGCACAGAGACAGTGGAGTTCAGTCATTCAGCCCATGTGCACAGACAGTCAGAGGACAAGCCTGGGGGACAAGAGGCCAGGGCGGAGCCTGCGGCAATAACTGAGGCCCCTCAGAACCCTCAGAGAGGTTCAGGCAGTCCTAGGTCTGGGAGAGGAGATGTTGCTGGGGTTGGGGGTGGGAAGGAAACTTAACCGAGGCGCAAGTACTGAACCTTCATGATTGGTGTCTCTCAGAGGACAGGGAGAAAAGAACGGAAGTAGGAGAGGGAAAGGAGGTGCTAAAGATGAACCCAAAGCCTTGAGTCTGTGTGACTGAGGGATTGTAGAAGGGATGGTTGAAGAGGGAACAGGTTGGGGAAGCAGATGAGTTTTGTTTCTGCATGAGTTCTGTTTAGGATGCAGGGAAAAAACATCATAGATCTTTGAGGAGACTACATACAAACAAGTGAGACTTTAACAACAATGCAACAAAGAGGTAGCATTCAGTGATGGTACAATAGGACACAAAGCAGTGTATCATTAATAATTAGGCAAGTGTTATTCACAAATGGGCAGTCATAAGAAGGGTGATAGGAACAATACTCATAGCAGCTTTTGGCATTTCTGCAGCACAAGCTGGTTTCTCTTTCTGGAATTCTTCCTCTCTTGGTCTTTACTACTTTATGACAATTCAGATTTGGAACTCATCTGTCCTTAGAATCTCTCCTATCTCCTCCTCCGATTCCCCTGGGCTATGTGAAGGATGTCTGCCCTGTGAAGTCAGCCCCCTGCTTGCCTCAACCTCTCTCATCATAAATTCCATGGGTTGGTCTCCAGTGTTAGACCACGAACTCTGAGAATAACAGTGCTGGCATTCCTCAGACTCCTAATTCCTGGGATATCATGGATGTACAGTAAATGATGCATCTGAAGCACATGAATAAATGAGTACAGTATATAGGAGTTTCCACATCCCTAGCACAAAATTCCTTATGTGCACTTCTCACTTTTGAGAAGTGGGCTTTTAACATTCCCATTTAACCAATGCAGGGAACTAGAGAGGCCTCAGTCAATGCACACGGCCTCCAGAGGCTTCATATGTAATGATATGCTTATTTTGAAAAGATGATACATTTTTGATGCAAAGTTACAGTACTTTTAAAATAACTCTTCTGTTATTTAAAATGGGATGTTTCCATTTTTAATAATATTCTAGGTGAAGGAATCCAGATCAAGAGAACAGCAAAGGGACAGTTGAGCTTGCCCCCCTTACTCAGGCACCCAGACACAGCCAGTAGCCACTCACTGCCTGGCTCTCCTGGTCACTGCCCCTGGCAGTCCAGACATCACACTCATTGAGAGAGCTTCATGGTCCAGACCAGCCACCAGCCTGCCAAGGAGGGGCAAAGTACCATGTGCACAGTGCACAGCCGATAACAAGCAAAGTACTTATGAACATAAGAGGAGGAGACTGTTTAAGTCACCTTGAAATGCATTGAGAGCACTGCTTTAGCTTGAGTTCAGTATCACATAAGACAATGGATGGTATTTGATGCTTGCAGGCTATTTAGGAGGTGAAATGTATCACAGAGCAATATGTAATGCATATTTTCTTCCCATTCAATTGCTCATTTACTCAATAATCCATCATTGGTTACAGAATTAATTTATTTATTCACTTATTTATTTATTTAATAATATTCTTTAAACAACTACTTTATTTGTCGGACTATTTATTAATACTAAATTCTAGAGATACAGAGTAGACCTCCGTCCTCACTGAGACCCTGCCTCAGGGACTTAGGAAGAGCCTCCTAAAAGTGGAACTTAAGCTACTTTGGGGATGAATGATTGCCTGTCACCAGGCAAATAGACAAGTAGAAGAAAGATATTAGAGGAAAAGGGTGTAGGAATCCTGAGGCAGAAAGGAATGGCAGTGTATAAGGTGTCCCAGGACATTCATAGAAGGAAATAGTTCTGGAAAGGTGGGTAGAGGCAAGATCGCAGCAGGCATTGTATGGCAGATACAACTAGTTTGGATAAAATTGGGTGATGTGCTGCCTCACGTCACGGGGAAGTGAAAATGACCACAGTCAAGTGTTTCTTAACTGGGGTGCTATTGGCATTTAGGGCAAGACAGTTTTTCATTGTGTGAACTGACCCATGAATTGTAGGAACAGTACACTTCAATGGTTGAGCACCCCTCAGTTACTGTGACAACTAAAAAAAGACATGCGTATATTTTCAAATGTCTTCTCCTCCTACTTCAGAAGGGAATGGAGTATGGTCTTAGAATAAGAGGCAAATGTCTAGATGGAGGAGCTGGCTCCTTGAGGAGAAAGTAAAGGAGATGGATGGATGTAATATTTAGCTTTAGGGCCACTGGTGGGCCTGGGGGCGATTCCCGTAGGCTTCCATATTGGTGTTTAAGAGGCAGTGGGAGTCAGCTGTGAAGTTCAATCTAAGCAGGACTAGATGGAGATCTTAAGTGAAGGAGCTGGTAGGATCCAGGCAGGGTCAGGTCCCCGTCTAGGAGTCTAGGGCTCAGAAAAGAGCTGTCCCAACCTTTGAACTGGAGTGTTAGGTATGAATGAACTAATGCTCAGAGTTTGGGAAAAGAGACAAGTTTTGTTTTAAACCCCAGCCCGACTGTGACTATGTGGCTCAGAGCAAGTCACTTCATCTTATGAGCTATGATTTCCTAATTTTAAACAAGAGAAGTAATATCCACCTAAGAAGGATATGTCTTTGACCTAGTTTGAATCAATATAAGGAAATTGATCACTTTCTCCAACTTAAAAGGGCCTGGCCAGGCGCAGTGGCTCACGCCTGTAATCCCAGCAATTTGGGAGGCCGAGGTGGACAGAGCACGAGGTCAGGAGATTGAGACCATCCTGGATAACACGGTGAAACCCCATCTCTACTAAAAATACAAAAAATTAGCCGGGCACAGTGGCAGGTGCCTGTAGTCCCAGCTACTCGGGAGGCTGAGGCAGGAGAATGGCATGAACCCTAGAGGCGAAGCTTGCAGTGAGCCGAGATAGTGCCACTGCATTCCAGCCTGGGTGACAGAGCAAGACTCTGTTTCAAAAAAAAAGAAAGGGTTTGCAAGGGCCTTGACTGTATGACATTAGTTACAAAATGTGCAATTTTCTCTTCTGAGATCTTCCATTTATTATACTGTCACCATTTACTTAGCTTTCCTACCCAAATATTTCCCATCCTCAAAGCCCAAGAGTAAGAAGCAGGGATTTATTTCCCACTTGAAAAAGGTTTCCACTGCTGCACAACAATTATCACAAGTTTAACAGCTTACAGCAGCACCTATTTATTATCTCGCAGTTCTATGGATTAGAAGTCTGGGTAGGCATGACTGGGTTCTCTTCTTAGGACCTTACAGTAGAGGCAAAATTAAAGTGTTGACTGGTTGGGTTCTTATCAGGAGGCTCTGGGAAAAATCCACTTCCAACGACTTTCAGGTTTTTGACAAAATCCAGTTTCTTGGAGTTATAGGTCTAAGGTAGCAATTTTTTCCCTCACTGTTGGCCTGGATTGCCTTCAGCTCCTCTAGGCTCTCATATCCCTTATTCCGTATTCTCTGAATATGGCCTCCTCCGTTTCAAAGCAGTAATGATATATTGAGTCTTCTATGTTTCCAGTGTTTCTAAGTTCCCCTTCTGCTTGAGAGAAAGCACACTGCTGTCAAGAATTCATGAGACTGGGCCAGGCCCAGTTAGATAATTTCCACATCTTAAGGTCAACTGTACCATATAATGTAACAAAATCATGGCAGGAATGCCTCAACATACTCACAGGTTCTGGGAATTAGTATGGGATATCTATGAAGGGCCATTCTGCCTACCACACCTTCTAAGTCTCAGCTTCCTACCCAGCAACCTGCCCTCTCCATAGGTAACTAACAGCAGGAATACCTATTTTTTGAGGACAGATTACAGCTTACTCTTCAGAAGAAAGTAAGTGGTTTGAGATAGAGTTCTCAAACCTAAAGACCCAAAAAGTGCTACTTGGGATTAATTTTAATTGTTAAATAAACCAACATTTACATCTAGATATGTGCTAATAAAAGTGCAGAATAAAATAGAGAAATTCTTCTAAGTTTGCAGAAAAAGAAAAGAAGAAATTAGTAAAGATTAGATTATCACCTAAATTCTTTTTGGCAATGTTGGATGCTAAGAATAATGGAGGAAGTTTTTTCAGAGGTATGAGATAAAATCATTTTGAAAGAAGAGTTCTAGAATTGACACACAAACTACCACTCAGATGAGAGGAAAATATAAAGATGTTCTTGGTAATGCAAGGGCTCTTAAACTCACAACTCAGAGAATCTTCCAAAAGACTTGTTTGAGCATAGATTGTATCAAAATAAATAATAAATTCAAGACAGGGAAGATATATGCTTTGTTTTGTTTTTTTAAATAGCCTTGCAAAAAACTTAAAACAAAACCGTAACAAAGAAAGCCACATCACCAAACCCCAGCAACCGATAGAGCTTATAGTTGAAATAATTATTTTTGCATAATTAAAAAATATTTTAACATCAATCTGTACCTTAATATACAAGGAGGCTAGGGTTAGAGAGATGGGGGAAATGAAATTTTCGTAAAGCTTTTATCTTGTTGAAATAAAAGATATAGATACTGGCTGGCTCTAGAGATTCATATGTGATCCAATGATTTAAGAGTTTTCACCAGCAAAATTTATATAGGATGTATAAACATGAAAATACTAGAGGAATAACATGAACAAAGAAAACTCAATTACTTAAAACAAAAACAGGACAGAGAAATAGAAATAAACGCTGAAAAAGCCCATCAAGTCGAAAATATCAGTGCAAAAATAAGTCCAAAGGAAATAATGAAAATGAATATGAAGGAAAGAGATCCTCAGGTTGGGTAATGGCTCTGTACTGTTTACAAGTGGCACACCTAAAACAGAATGAAACGTAAAAGGCAAAATGTATGTTTCATTCTGTTTTAGGTGTACCATTTGTAAGTAACGTAAATTGACTCTTTCATTTGTCCCAGGTACACTGTTATAGTACAAACCCCAAAATAGCAATATTAATTTTAGGCAAGAGTGAATTTAAAGTGAGGATTTCTAAGTAAGACAATGGAGAGATAAAATATTGATAAATAATATAATCCTTAAAAATCATGGAATCCATATGAATCATAGATTTTTAGATCTCTAACAATGTTAATCCAAAATTTGTAAAGAAAAAACTAACAAAGTAAAAGGGAAACAGACAAATCCACATTCATGTAGCTCATTTTAATGCACAGTTTTCTGAAATCAGCAGATTAAGTAAACAATAACAAAGGCTTGAGAGCCGAGCTTCCCAGCCCTTCCCACAGCGATGCGCCGCAGATGGGTCGCTGAAGTGCTGAGATCTTGATCCACGTGGCCATGGAGTGGCCTGGTGGGACCTGAGGCAGCCACAGCCTAAAACCAATTACCTCAGGCTTCAAGCAGCTTTGTTCATTTTCTGAGTGTGCCATACAAATAAATTTCTTTGTGAGCTGTGCTCTGACCCGAACAAATTTTAGAACAACTAAGGATAATTAAATATCATTAGATACATTATATGATGAAAATGTGTGAATGATATCATTATATGTATTTATATGTCTATTTTCTATGAAACTTAGTACCAACAAACAGAAATAATATAGTTTTTATAAAACATGAGTATTCAAAAAAGACACTGTATTAGATCTTAAAGAAAATCTTAATAAAACACAAAAAAAACCATTGAATTATTGCTGTAATGTAATAAAATCAGAAAATACATCAAAGGATGACTTACACCAAAAATTATTTATTTCATACTAAAAAATTTTTGAAACACACAATCCTGTTACTGCTTGTGCACTTTTCTGTATGTATGTTAGACTTTAATAAAAATGGCCATATAAAAGATTTTAAATAAATTTTGAATTAAAGAGAAAATTAAAATGTCTATTTAGAAATAAACTGCAATGAATGCACTTCATTTTGGAAGCTGTAAACTGTTGGCTTAGCAGTCCTTAGATAGTCTTACTTTCATATAAAAGAAAAAAGGAAAATTGAGGATAAAATAAGTAAGCATACAATTAAAGTAAGAAAATAAATCAAAATAAATCCCCTCAGAAAAGAAGACTGCTTTGACAAAGATAAAAGCAAAAAATATGGAAATTTTTAAAGGTTATAAAAAATCCTGAATAATAAAATGAAGAAAGGGGGTTTATTTTGGAAAAAAATTGATAAGATAGGAAATCCATAACAAATTAACCCAAATTTAAAAAACAGAAAAATGAAAAAGAAAAAACATGGAGATTAGAAAATGATAATTAAAAATTATTTAAAATGATAGAGGAATAAAACATTCATTATCAGGGCAAAAATTGAAAAACTAAAAAATGTGAGTGATTTTTCTGGTAACATATAATTTAGTAAAATCACATCAATAAAAGGTAGCACACTGATCTAATAACATGGAAAAACTTTTAAAAGTAGTCAAGATCTAGCCCTATAAAAACATCCCTGTTCAGTTTGCTTTTCAAAAATAAGGTAATTCCCGTGTTGTACTGACTGACCTGGAGCACAGAAAAATAACACTTCACAGCCAATTTAATGCTATTTTGATACTAAACCCTAAAAAAGGCTAACATACATGTGCACGTACACACACACACACACACACACACACACACCACACACATAATTTTGGCCAACCTCACAAACATATATGCAAAACTCAGACATAGGACACTTATAAAATAATATTTTGCATTGAATTGAAAACATAATGCACTATGAATATCTAAGGTTTCTCCCTTCCTATTATAGTTATTGCCATATAATAACAGTTCCTCATCAGGAAAACAATTAATGAAATTCACTATTAACATATCAAAGGATAAGAGCCATGGGATCACCTTAACTGATATCAGAAGATACTCCTGACTGGCCACATGTACACATACACATACACTCCTCAGTCAGCTGATATAACAAAATAGCCTCACTCTGATAATGTGAATTGATGTAGTTGCATAAAATCCATGAAATTCATTAAATAAAATTAAAAGAAGCATAAATATTAGTAAAGAAAAAATGATATTTGCAGGCCATTTAATTATTTAGACAATAAAAACAACAAATAAGCATAAAGAACTTTGTTAGGTTGTTGGACTAAAGACCCACAAAAGTGTACAATAAATTCCAATATATAGTGATGATTACATGGAAATTGTAGGACAAAAAGTGGAAATTATAAGGGAAATTATAATGGAAAAGCACTTCTTATTGCTATACAAATGAATTAAAACTACTTAGGGACAATCTTAACAAAAATATGCATAGCCTATGTGAAGTAAATTAGAAAACTGGCAGAGGATATAAAAAGAACACTCTAGTGGAAAACACCTAGCATTATAAAAATGTAACTTTACCACAGATCAATGTATAAATTAAATGCAGTTCTACTCAGAATCTTAACAGGATTTTTTTTTTAGTTACTTGACAAGCTGATTCAAATGTTCATATGGGACTGAAAGTAAATGTAACCAGTACAATTAGCTACGCAAGACTGACAACATAATAAAAACTCCAATCCTTTTCAATGTCTTAGTGGAGGTAATTTTCCTTTGGTCTTGGATGAAAACTCCAGCAGACACATAGTTTTTCTCCTTACTCTTAGATAACAGTCTAAAATTTAAGTTTCAAACAATCTCAATCCAAAAATTGGAATATGAAGTCCAAGATATTAAGGAGAACTCCAAAGTTGATTTAGGATTAAGTCTTCTCCCCTCCCAGAATGAATATGTCTCAGGCAAGAAGACTTCCACGGCCACTGTTTTTTATTTCTCCACCAATGCTATCCCTTCTCCTGCACTCCTGCTTGGTAAGCAGTTTCTAACCCATCAAGTTTGGAGATTGGGAGTGAGGAGTGTTAAAGAGATAAGAAAGCTCTTCCTTAAACTGGTCCCTTGCCAGCTGGCTTCACACTCTGGTGCTGGGAGATATTCACTGCACATCCCTTGAATGCTATCTTGCAGGAGATGCTCATGGTCTAAGGACCTCACCTGCGGTTCCCAAGTCAATGACATGTAGGAGAGCATTCTAACTCTAATCTGAAAAGATGTTTCGTTTTATTTAGAAATTGATATTAATTTTACCAAATGCCTGCTTGCTGTCTATAGAGGTTATCTCACAGTTTTTCCGTCATTTTGTGAATATATTAAGTTACCTTGAGTTCCCAAAGGTGAATTACTTTTGAATAACGAAAATGAGTCTTACTTTTTCTATTTGCTGAGATTGTTCACTGACATCCATTCTGCCTTGAGTAACCTTATGGAGAATTCTCATTTTTAAATCTTGAAATACAGGGTCTGATTTGCTATTATTTATCTATCTAATATACACATATTTCCAATATATGTTTTTATTCCTGAGTATCATTGTAACATTTTGATATCAGCATTAAGCTATAAAAATAACTGAATTTTTTTTATCTCTTTGTGTGTTCTAAAAACATTTAAATAGCATAGGAATCCCAGAGGTCTATTTTATAAAATATTTTGCACTGGTGCCATTTTATGGGACTAGTTTTAGTGACAGAGTTTTAAGTGTTTTTCAAAGTTATTGGTTCATTCAGATTTTGTTTTTCTTCATAAGCCAGTTTTGGCAATTTACATTTTCATTAAAATGTCAGAGATTTTCAAATGTATTAGCAGTCAATTATACGCAAAATTATCTTATAATTTGTAAATCCCCTTTGAAAATGTACTTTTGGTTCCTTTTGAATTCTATTTTATCTCTTCTTTCCCTGCTATAATTTACTAGAGAATTGTCATTGTTCTTTTTTTTAAATCAATTCTCCTTTTAAAAAAATTTTAAAAAATGATTGTTGTTTTATTTTTTTCTTATTTCAATAGCTTTTGGGGTACAAGTTTTTTTTTGGTTTCGTGGATGAATTATACAGTGATAAAATCTGAGATTTTAGTGCTTTCATCATCTGAGTAGTGTACATTGTACCCAACAAGTAGTTCTTTTAATCCCTCATCCCCCTTCCACCCTTTCACTTATGAGTCTCCAAGGTTCATTATACCACTCTGTATGCCTTTGTATACCCATGGCTTAGCTCCCACTTGTAAGTGAGAACATAGGGTATTTGGTGTCTTCTTCCTGAGCTACTTCACTTAGAATAATGGCCTCTAGTTCTATGCCAGTTGTGGCAAAATACATTATTTTGTTCTTTATGGCTGAGTAGTATTCTATGGTGTATATATACCACATTTTCTATTTATCCACTCATCGGTTTATTTGCACTTAGGTTGGTTCCACATCTTTGCAATTGTGAATGGTGCTGTGATAAACATACACATGTAGAATTTTTTTTTATATAATGACTTCTTTTCCTTTGGGTAGATAGCCAGTAGTGGGATTGCTGGATGAAATGGTAGATCTACTTTCAGTTCTTTGAGAAATCCCCATTTGTTTTCCAAAGAGGTTATACTAATTTACATTCCCACCAGCAGTGTATAAGCATTCACTTTCACCACATCCATGCCAATATCTATTGTTTTCTGATTTTTTAATAATTGCCATTGTGGCTGGGGTAAGGTGGTACTTCAGTGTGGTTTTAATTTGCATTTCCCTGATGATTAATGACGTTGAATATTTTTTCATATGCTTGTTGGCCATCTGTATATCTTCTTTTGAGAAGTGCCAGCTCATGTCATTTGCTCACTTTTTGATGGGTTTATTTGTTCTTTCTTATACTGTTTTGGGCTCCCTGTAGATTCTGGATATTAGTCCTTTGTCAGATGCATAGTTTGCAAACATTTTCTCCCATTCTGTGAGTTGTCCGATTACTCTGATGATTATTTCTTTTGCATTGCAGAAGATTTTTAGTTTAATTAGGTTCCATTTATTTATTTTTGTTTTTGTTTTTGTTGCTTTTGCTTTTAGGTTCTGATATGGTTTGGCTGTGTCCCCACCAAAATCTCAACTTGAATTGTATCTCCCAGAATTCCTATGTGTTGCAGGAGGGACTCAGGGGGAGGAAACTGAATTATGGGGGCTAGTCTTTCCCATACTATTCTCGTGATAGTGAATAAGCCTCAATAGATCTGATGGCCTTATCAGTCGTTTCCACTTTTGCTTCTTTCTTATTATGTCTTGCCACTGCCATGTAAGAAGTGCCTTTCACCTCCCACCATGATTATGAGGCCTCCCCAGCCATATGGAACTGCAAGTTCAATTAAACCTCTTTTTCTTCCCAGTCTCGAGTATGTCTTTATCAGCAGCGTGAAAACAGACTAATATAGGGTCTTAGTTATAAATTATTTGCTCTTCCAGTGTCGAGAAGAGTTTTTCCTAGGTTTTCTTCTAGAATTTTTGTGGTTTCAGTTCTTAGATTTAAGTCTTTAATCCATCTTGAGTTGATTTTTGTACGTTGTGAAAAATAGAGATCTAGTTTCATTGTTCTACATGTGGCTATTCAGTTTTCCCAACACCATTTATTGAATAAATGGTATCCTTTACCCCAATTTATGTTTTTGTATGCTTTGTCAAAGATCAGTTGGTTGGGCTTTATTTTTAGAATCTCTATTTCTAGATTAGAATACATTATTTCTAGATGCGTTATTTCTAGATTCTATATTCTGTTCCATTGATCCATGTATCTACTTTTATCCCAGTACTGATATGGTTTGGCTGTGTCCCCACCTAAATCCCACCTTGAATTGTAGTAATCCCCAGATGTCAAGGGCAGGGGCAAGTGGAGATAATTGAATCATGGATGTTGTTCCCCCATACTGTTCTCTTGGTAGTGAATAAGTCTCACGAGGTCTGATGGTTTTATAAATGGGAGTTCCCCTGTGCTAGCTCTCTTGCCTGCCACCATGTAAGATGTGACTTTGCTCTTCCTTCACCTTCTGCCAATGATTGCGAGGACTCCCCAGCCATATGGAACTGTGAGTTCATTAAATCTCTTTCCTTTATAAATTACTCAGTCTTGGGTATGTATTTGTTAGCATCATGAAAACAGACTAATACAAGTACCATGCTGTTTTGGTTACTATAGTCTTGTAGTATAATTTGAAGTCAAGTAATGTCATGCCTCTAGATTTAACCTTTTCACTTAGGATTGCTTTGGCTATTTGGACTCTTTTTTGGTTCAATATGAATTTTAGACATTTTTTTCTGTGTGAAAAATGATGTTGGTATTTTGATAGGAATTACTTTGAATCTATAGATTGCTTTGGGGAATATGGTCATTTTCGCAATATCGATTCTTCAAATTCATGAGTATGGGATGTATTTCCACTTGTTTGTGTCATCTATGATGTCTTTCAGCAGTGTTTTGTAGTTCTTGTAGAGATCTTTCACCTCCTTCATCAAGTATATTCTGAGGATTTTTTTTTTTGCAGCTATTGTAAAAGGGACCGACTTTTTGTTTTGATTCTGAGCTTGAGCACTGTTGGTGTATAGCAGTGCTACTGATTTGTGTACATTGACTTTGTAACCTGAGACTTTATTAAATTCATGTATCAATTTAATAGTGTTTTGGAGTCTTTAGGGTTTTCTAGGTATGCAATCATATCATCAGCAAACAGATAGTTTGACATTCTGTTTTCCAGTGTGTATGCCCTTTATTTCTTTCTCTTTCCTGATTGTTCTGGCTAGCACTTCCAGTACTATGTTGAATACAAGTGACAAAAGTAGGCATCCTTGCCTTGTTCCAGTTCTTAGGAGGAATGCTTTCAACTTTTCCCCATTCACTGTGATGATGTTGGCTGTGGGTTTGTCATATATGGCTTTTATCATTTTGAGGTATGTTCCTTCTATGCCTAGCCTGTTGAGGGTTTTTAACATAAAGGGATTTTACTGAATGCTTCTTCTGTGTCTACTGAGATGATCATATGGTTTTTGTTTTTAATTCTGTTTATGTGGTGAATCACATTTATTGACTTGTATATGTTGAAACATCCTTGCATTCCTGGGGTGAAACTTGCCTGATAATGATGAATTATCTTTTTGATGTGCTGCTGGATTTGCTTTGCTTTCTAATTCACAATATATGATGGTTTTACCTTTATGGATCTATTATAAGTTTTTGTTTTCCTTCAGTTAACTTATTGAGCTTAATTATTATTTAATTTATTATCAGTCTTTCTTATTTAGTAATGAAAAACCTTTAAGATTATGGAGTTCTCAAACAAATGAACAAGAAAAAAACAAATAATCCCATCAAAAAGTAGGGAAAAGACATAAACAGACATTTCTCAAAAGAAGATATGCAAATGGCAAAATAACAGATGAAAAAATGCTCAATATCACTAATCATCGGGGGAATGCAAATAAAAACCACAATGAGATATCACCTTAGTCCTGCAAGAATTGCCATTATTCAAAAGTTAAAAAACAATAGATGTTGGCATGGATACAGGGAGAAGGGAACACCTATACTATACACTGCTGTTAGGAATGTAAACTAGTACAACCTCTATGGAAAACAGTATGGGGATTCTTTAAAGAGCTAAAAGTAGTTCTGCCATTCGATACAGCAATTTCACTACTGGGTATCTACCCAAAGAAAAAGAAGTCATTATATGAAAAGGACATTGCACATTTATGTTTGTAGCAGCACAATTCGCAATTGCAAAGATATGGAACCAACCTAAGTGTCCATCAAATAATGAGTAAAGAAAATGTGATATATATATATATATATATATATATATATATATATATATATATCAATTTTACATATATCAATTACATGTATCAATTATATAATTTTGTTATATATATATATATAATGGAATACTACTCAGCCACATAAAAGGAATAAAATAATGTCTTTTGTAGCAACTTGGATAAAGCCGGAGGCCATTATTCTAAGTAAAGTAACGTAGGAGTGGAAAATCAAAAACTGCATATTTGCACTTATAAGTGAGAACTAAGCTATGAATATGCAAAGGGATTCAGGGTGGTATAATAAACTTTAAAGACTCAGAAGTGGGAGGGTAGGAGGAGGGCTAGGGATAAAAAAAAACCTACCAATTGAGCACAATGTACATTACTTGGGTGATGAGTGCACCAAAATCTCAGACTTCACCACCATGTAATTCATCCATGTAACAAAAAACCACTTGTACCCCAAAAGCTATTGAAATAAAAATGTTTAAAAAACATTATGGAGTTCCTTTAGATATGTAAATAACATCTTTTTTAATGTTGTGCTTTTGAGTTAATTCATTGATAATGCGTGATGTTAATTTTAATTTTCTCATTTAACAGAGCAATGTTTTAATTTTTTTAAGTTTGTTAACTTTTTGCTAGTAATTTCCTGTTTTATTACAGTGTGATCAGCACAGAAACAGTACAAGGGACCTGAGGAGATATGGGGGGAGCACCAGCAGTGTCTGCTGTAAGGAAAACTGTTTTGATTTTATCTTCTTAAATCCTTGCTTCACTGGGTGTCATTTGTTCTTTCAATGTGTCCAATTGACAACTTTGAGGCATTATTTTCCTTTTCTTTTTTTTTGATACGAAGTCTTGCACTGTCACCCAGGCTGGAGTGCAACGGCTTGATCTCGGCTCACTGCAACCTCCGCCTCCCGGGTTCACGCGATTCTGCTGCCTCAGCCTCCCGAATAGCTGGGATTACAGGCGCACACCACCACACCCGGCTAATTTTTTTGTATTTTTAGAGATGGGGTTTCACTATGTTGGTCAGACTGGTCTGGAACTCCTGACCTCGTGATCCGCCCGCCTTGCCCTCCCAAAGTGCTGGGATTACAGGCGTGAGCCACCGCCCCCAGCCTCCCTTTTCTATAAACAGAGACAAAAGCGTTCATTTCAGCAACTACCCACATTTCTGTTACTGGTGGATGCTGGGTCAAGTACAGCAAAGGCTCACATGTGAGTTTTTTCTTCTGGAAAATCTCCTGGAATCTCCTGATGGCCACCTGCCATCGTCAGTAAATCATGGAGATTTCTATACTAGCTGGTAATCAGACTCGTGTACAGAGTAGTCCCAGGCCTGGAACTTTATTTCATCAGCATCTTCCTGTCTCTTCTCTTCTGGGGCCTTTGGATATTCTTGCCTGAATTAGGACATGGAATTGGAAATTGGGTGATTTAATCTGTTAAAATAAACAAAAGCAAAGTGTGTGGTCTTTAAAATATATCATGTAATGTAATTAAGAAAATAGCTAATAATTTTTATTCATTTTTACTCAATTCCACCGATTGTAATAGAATCTCTATTATATGTCAGGCACAGTGTTAGGCAAAGGGAGTAAAATAGTTGAAAAGGTCCATCCATTTCACTTGTGAGAGAGAATTTGGTGGGGCAGGGCTGGGAAAGGTTTGTGTAGAAGCGGGTGGAAACTGAATGCTCTGTGGATGGCGGTGCTTTCCCATCCTGGCACAACTGATGATCTGGGGTGATTAATGGGGAGAGGAGACAGGGAGATGTAAGAACAAATCATGGAAGTCTTTATGAGCCATGATTAGAAAATTGAATTTAAAGCGTTACAAAGTCATTAACATTTTAAATGAGGAAGTATCATGACCAATGTGTATTAATGTGCTTGGGCTGCCACAACTAAATACTACAGATTGGGTGACTTAACAGCAGAAATGTATTTTCTCATCCTTCCGAAAGGAGGAAGTCCAATATCAGAGTGCCACCACTGTCGGTTCCTGGTGAAGACTCTCTTCCTGGCTTGCAGATGGCGAAGTTTTCTCTGCACCCTCACACGGTGGAGAGAAAGCGAGCTCTCTGGTGTCTGTTACGAGGACACCGATCCTATCAGATCAGGGACCCACTCTTCTGACCTCATGTAACCTAATTACATCCAAAAAGCCTTGTTCCAATATAGAGTCATATTGGTGGTTAGGGTTTCAACATACGAATTTTAAGGGGACAAAATTCAGTGGACAGCAAACTGTGGACTTAGTTGTAAATTGTTAACGGCATTGTGGACAATAAATATTTAAAAAGCAGCAGTTGACAGGAAGATTAATGATTATTGCAGCAATCTGGGTGGAAATGACAGATAACTTTACAATAGTGGCAGCAGGAATGGAAACAGAAAAAGGACAGAACTAATAGAATTTTGAAAAATAGACTAAAAAATTCAAGGCCAATGTGGGCTGGTGTAAAACGGGGGAAAGCTGGAGAGGTGGAAGATTGATTATTCCCAAGTTTCTGATTTGATTGATTCAATGTATGAATTTTTAAAGCAAGATTTCCCATACATTTTAATTATGGAAAGTCATTATTTTATGACAAGCACAATTCAAAATAACCTTTCCCAAAATATAATGATACAAATTTATAAAAGTAGCTATTAAAAGAAAATTAAATAAAATAAGAATTCAAATAAAGATATTAGAAAAAGAAGAGGACAGATTTACATAAAGAAAATAAAATAGTAAACACAAAACAGGATACTGAGAATTGAAGAACAAAACCAAGAAGATTTGATGAATAAAACCAAGAGATAATTTTTAAAAATCAGTAAAATAGATAAATAGATGATGATCCAATTAAAGAGAGAACACAAGCAAAAATACAACTATAAATGAGGGTGCAATAATAGATATAGATGAGATTAAAAATTATAATAAAATAATTTTTTACTTTCTTATGATATATCAATGTTATTTTTCTTAAAAATATAAATATACAAAATTGAATCAAGAAACAGAAAATCTATATAGAACAATAAACATGATAGATATTAAAGATTTATTACATATATCTTTAATAAAAGCTCTAGGACAAATTGGTTTTACAAGTGATTTATTTCAAACTTTAAAAACACTCAATTGATAAACTGCTCTGAAGCATAGATGAATATGGAAAGTCTCTAAATTAATTTATAAAACTATTATAATCCTGATTTTAAGGAAAAGAAAATTGTTAGAGATAATACCCAAACAATAAATCATAGATGTCTCTCACTTTTAAGTTACAGATATAAAATTCTCAGATATAATACCAGCAAACCAAAATTAATAGTGCATTTAAAAATGCACAATGGCCTTGACCGTATTCTTAGTGAGTTTGTTTTTATCACATATGTTTCTAAAAGGTTTTCTATTTTATTTAAGTTCAAACTTACTGGTACATAGTTATTCCTATTCTCTTACAGTATCTACAGCACATTCTAGTTTTTGGTAATATGTTCAGCATTTAATTTTTTATTCCTGGTGAGTTTTTTTATATTTTATTAGGCTTTGGAAAGAATAACTGTTACTAATACTTGGGTTCTTGCTTTATATTACTGTTTTGTTTGTTTATTGAAAATTATTGTTTACTTTGACTTTCCTGAGTTGTTATTTCACTTTTCTTCATTAGTAGCTCATTTGTTGTCAGTTTTTTAAAATTTTTTACCTTATGCATTTGGCCTTGTATTTTAAAATACTATTTTAATTACATCTCACAATTTTAAGCTGTAGTGATATATTCTGTTCATTTAAAAATATTCTTTCCATTTTTATTTTCTCTTTAACATATGAGTTATTAAAATGAGTTAATATCAAATCTCATATACTTTTAACATTTATGTTTTAATATTTATACTCAATAAAATTTAGTCTTTATGAAAATATTTTATCTTCTTAACTCACTGTTGCTTTTATTCTGACAGTCATTTAGCTGAATAACATCCTTTAGTATATGTATTATTGAATGTATGTTATCATTTAGGAACTGTGTTGTTTTAACTTTCAAGTTGAGTTAAGCAATTTAACTGAAATTAATGTTTGTACGTGATGTACATAATGTGAAGTAGGTGTCAATATTCACATTTTCTAACATAAAATTCCATTTGACCTAGAACCATTTATTGAAAAGGCTGCCTTTTCCCTATGGCTATGCAGAGCCACTTTATTATAAATAAATTCTCATATATATGAGAGTCTATTTCTGAATCTCAATTGGCTCCACTAGGTTCTTTGTCTATCCTAAAGCCAGTGCTGCAGCACTGTAGCTACATACTGTAGCTTTCTAATAATTCTTTCTGTCTGGTTATACCATTTCTCCAATTTTGTTTATTCTTCAAAATTACCATAACTTTTTCTCTTTTGCAGTTCCATTTTAATGTTAATATTAGCTTGTCAATTTTCTCTGAAGAACAATACAAAATAAAGAATCAAAAATAATCTCTCCTATCATGATTTTGATTGCAATGAATCTTTCAATGGATATGGGGAGAATTGATATCTTTATAATGTTGGGCCTTCCAATCAATGATATGGTATATCCCCTTATTTATATATCTTCTTTTGTTTATCTCTATAATGTTTCACAGCTTTCTGTATATAATCCTTATATACCTCTTATATACTTATGTGTTTGATATTTTTCATGCTATTCTAATGGAATACATTTTTAAATTTCATTAACAAATTTTTATTGTTCATATATGAAAATACAGTTTTTGTATATTGATCTACTCAGAGACCTCACTAAAATCATTTACTACTTCTATAGCTTATTGGTAGAGCCTGAGTTTTTTCATCTACAAAAATCATGTAAATTGCAAATAATAAAAAATTTATTTTTATTAAAACTTTTATCAGTTATTTATTTATTTTTTTTGTCTAAATGTATTGCCTAGGACCTCCAATACAATATTAAATAAATAGTGACAGTAGGCATCTCGATCTCATTTTCACTCTCTTGGGAAATTGTTCTGTTTTTTACATTGAATGTGACACTTACTGACATATTTTAGTAGAATACCTTTAACAGGTTAAGGTTATCTATTTCAGATTCTAGATTACTAAGATTTTTTAAAAATATAAATGAGTATTTGATTTTATCAAATGTACATTCAAAAATGAGTTAGTCAGTTTAATGCCAATGACTGAACTGTATACATTTTAAAGCAAATTATAAACATGAAAATTGACTCAAGAAGAAATAAAAATCCTCAAATGTTACCATCGAATAACTTTATAGTTAAAATGTTCAGTCACCAACAACCCCACTCCACACATTCCCCAGGCCTATTTTACCTCCTACCAAGGAACAATAACTATTAAATAATAGAAAATATTACAGAGACTAGGAAAAGAGGGAAACTGACCGGCACTTTTGATAAGACTATTACAGTCTTGAAACCAAAGCTGGTCACAGCTCATTCAAGTTAGGAAACACAAGGCAAGTCCCTTTGAACACCTATCTGATTGTGTTGGAATTTATGTCTTAAGCCTCATATCTCTTGGATTCTATTTTCCATTTTGCACAGCTCTCCTGCATTCTGGATGGTTCTTTTGATTTTTGTATTGGTTAATCAATTGTTAAGCCAAGATGCTGAATTCCCTGCCCCTCAGTTTTAGCCCCTTTATTTTTATTTTTAGATTTGCCTATTATGTTTTTATTCTATTATATTCTTACATTGTACCTTTCCTTTCTTAATTTGCTTTTTGAAACACTTTAAATATTCCTAATTAAAGTATCTTCTTTGGGTACAAATTCCCATGTCTTTTGCCATTGCTGATGATACCACATGGCAGTTTTTTTCTGTGGTTTCTAATATCCAGTGGAGTTCGTTTTTGTGGGAATCCTGAGTGTAGAATGATTTGTAGAAGCAGTCATCTGGAGATCCATGAGATTAATCAGGACCAGGTCCTTTCTGACAATAGTTTCCCAATCAGGAATTTTTACATCTTCTGAAAAGTATTCATAAGAGCTACATGGTAGTGTTCTTTACAGTTTTAGAGGTTTAATCTCTGCCTCTGTCTCCTCCTTGGTTAAGCCATCCTGCTCCTTGTCCAACAGGTGGAACATTTCTAGCCTCAGTACACAGGTAGCGTAGCTTCTGTTATGCTGGGCTTTGTGCAGTGAGGCCACTTCAGACTGCCTCGGAATACGTGGCCATATTTTTTTCATTTCTCCCACAGATATTTAAACCTCAGCTCCTGAACCATGTATTCGATATAAGTACTCACAGGAATTTTTCTTGGCTTAAACTTTCACTCACAGCTGTAAAAATTTGAGTTCACTTGTCTTTTTTTTCTCTTATTGGGAGAAGTGTGGAAGCGAGATGGAGCTAATTCTCAGCCTATCATCTTGCCTGATGTCTGGAGTATGAATTAATAAATACAATTTAAAAACAATATGCTTCTCTCATTTGTAAAACGTCCTTTGTTTATTTTGCAAATAGGTGAATTAACTAATGGATATCTGTGTCCCTGAACAAGATAATGAAATTGTTCACGATTCAGTTTACAGTTTATTAGGTACTTAGTGCATTTAGCACGTCAGATGCACCACATTAAAAGAAATAACAGCAAATTCACAACCACAAATGCCTTCCTAATCCACTTGTCCCACTAGAGCTCATAGAAAAGGCCTTTGAAGTAAAAATTAATGGTGACTTTGTTTAGTTGTGGATGTCTAAAATCAATGCCCCAAGAAAAGTTTCCTAAGTTGAAGGAATGAAAGGAGCTTTTCTTCACTTAGCTTCTCCTTCTGAAATGCATTTTGCACCTGCTCTGGTTAGAATATCCTGGGCCCCAAATCTTTGTTCTCTATGGAATACTCACATGCTTCCTCCATTATTTAGGGGTGGGGGCCTGTCTTCCTGATAATTGGTGGGTCTGATCAGCATCTGGGGAGCTATCCAGACGGCCTACAACCCAGAAAGAGTTGTCTGGAGTATAAAGTATTGGCTTTTAATGTGGATAAACCAAAATCAATAAGTAAACCAGTCTTTTTTCTTTCTTGTGTGTGTATGTGTGTATGCATTCATGTACTCATGCACGGCAGTCCTGCAGTATTAAAGGAATTGGCATCTGTAATAAAGTTAGAGCTTTCCGATCTAACTGGGACTTCTGTCTCACTATACTCAAGGCTAAGCCTGTCTCTAAATGCTTCAGTTGGTCATCACGGGCTCTGCAAATTGGATAAGACCTTAGAGATCAACTCATTTATCAATCTCTCTGTATAGACGGAGAAACTGAGGACCAGTGAGGGGAAAGTTCTACAGGTCCCAGAGGATCAAAGTTTAAATGTGGTTGTTCTGAAAGGAAAGAAAGGAGCGTGCCTTCTTGAGCATTTAGATCACACATTGGATGCGTGACTAGGAAAACAGCTACTGGGAAGATGCTTTGTTGACTTCTTTCTTTGTGTGTCAGTCAGTTACCTCTTCTTTTCACCAGAGAAAGAAAAGCAAATCCTAATTATGACTCCTTTGCCTTGCAATGAGACCAGATTAATAATAACAGCCACCTTAGTGTATTGGTTTTTTCTCACACTGCTGCAAGAACTACCTGAGACTGCGTAATTTATGAAGAAAAGAGATTTAATTGACTCATATTTCTGCAAGTTGTACAGGAAGCATAGCTGGGAGGCCTCAGGAAACTTACAGTCATGGAGGGAAGGTGAAGGGGAAGAAAGTGCCACACACTTTTAAACCATCAGATCTTGTGAGAACTCTATTAGGAGATAGCACTAGGGAGATGGTTCTAAATCATTAGAAATCACTTCCATGATCCAATCACCTCCCATTAGGTCCCTCCCCCAACACTGGGGATTTCAATTCAACATGGGATTTGGGTGGGGACACAGAACCAAACCGTATCACTTGAGCTGGCATTGATTGTGCTCTAGGGATGTGGATTCAGGGTTTTCCAGGTCACCTGCAAATGCTACTTAAGGTCTCAATATTTTATTCCCATAGGACAAAATATTCCATATTCCTAGGAAAGTCCAGCAAGTTCAAAGAGTAAATGCTGACTTCTAGGTGACAGATGAGACAATTTTCAGAAAGCTGGTTTAGATCAAGGGCAAAGGGAGAGAGTCTTCGAGCTCTGAGTGCCAATCAGTGTGCTCCATGGCAGAGTGGATCAACATAGACTGACCCTCACACCTAGCTCTAATTGTCCGGTACCTGTTCCTTACACCAGCCAGTGTCTTAAACATCTTGATATTTATTTGTTTTCCTGACCAGCTATTGAAAACTATACTCTTGATTTGTTTTAATCAGATAACGATAAGGCATGTAGGCACATAAATGACTGTCATGAGGGGTTTTCTCACAATTCTCTAGAAACAGGAGGCCTGGGCCACATGGGGAAGAACCAGGGCGGGGGGCGGGAGTCTCAGGCAGAGAAAGTCAAGGAAAGCAGAGTTCAGAGCCTTTGTTGTGGTTTCTGTGGGAAAGGCAAGGCATGCAGATTTAGAATGGGCTAGTTTGAATAATTTCAGTGGGCTCTGGGGCATAGGAGCTGACCCTAATTGTCCAGTACCTGTTTCTGGGATAAGTAGGGCAGAAGAATACCACCTCCTGGAGTGTAAGAGCCAGATAGAGAAGGTGGTTGTGAGTACGGGCTCTGGATTGGTTGGTATACAGATGAAAGGTGCTCTCCTCAGCGAGTCTTCTGCTATCTCTAAGAATTAGCAAGCCCTGGGTGGGGCAGCCTCTTTCCAGTCAGTGAAACTCCAGATACCAGATTATCACTCATATAGAAAATAAAAAAATATAATTAATACCTCAACACTGCTACTTCTGACCTTGTTCAGCCATCACTCATCCCTTACTCCCCTGCTCTCCCAGCCCTCATACCTCGTTCTAGCTTCTTCCCATCTTGGTTTTAAGCAAACTGTTCTATTTCTGGCATTTGCTTCAGCTAACTTGTTTTCTGAGAGTGAGCACCCCTGGATCTCCCACTATGCATACCTCTTGGCCCTTCTCTCTCTGATAAAAGTGCCTAGAGAGTGGGGCCCCTGAGTATATTGAGAGGAAGGAAGGACTCAGGATTGCCTGGGGCCGCAAAGCCATGCCTCACTTCAACAGTTGCACATGGCAGAAAGAGGGTAGCATGATAAGAGACAAAAGGCATGAGGTAGAAGATATTAATTAGTATCAGGTAAGATGGTGGGGGGTGTAGTGTACATCTTACTTTTTCCCAAGAGAATAGCCTGCTTTGTTAAAAGATCTCAGAATTACTCCAATTAAGCCAACTTTCTTAGCCTTAGTTTCCCTTTTGTAAAATTAGGACAATAATATCAAATTTGCACAGTTTTATGAACATTCAATGGATGCAATGGACTGTTTATGTACATTTTGTAGCATACATCCTGGCTCATAGTTTGTAGTTGGTAATTTTTTTTCAAATTTAGAGAATTAAATTTTTAAGACAATCTGTCTCTATTCCTTGTCTTGGGAGGCATCCAAAATGGAAACAACTATTCTAGCCACTGCAGCAACCTTATACCCCATATTCCCAGGCAGAAGTATGGACGCTTCCAAACCTAACAATCTGGGCTCTGGTAATTCAGTCCACTAATGAAATTTCCATCAAATTCTGCTGTCCCAGCATTTTCATCCAAGCTGAGGCATTCAAGACCTAATCTGTGCTTCCCACAGAGCTGAAGGGTGTTAGAGGCTGCTGGATCAGAGAATCTTCTGCGGCAGTCTTGGTCTACAACAAGCTGGACCTGGAAAAACAGGAAATTGGTATTATAATGGGTTAATTAAGATATGATGAGTTAATTAAGGAATCAACTTTATTTTTGCATTACTAATACAGGAATGCATAGCCAGTGTAAAAATGTCAACAATTTAGAAGTATACAGAGTTCAAAGTAAAAGACCAACACACTCATAGCTGTATGGAACCCACTCTATTCCCCAGAGTAAACACAATGAAATATTTGGTGTTATACTTCTAGAACTACCACTGTGCATTTATATACAATACATACACAGATATAGATATGCTGATATTGAAAACATGTATATGTCATTATGCTATAAGTAATGTTTTGTAACCTTTTTTTTTTGTTTCTTATTTATTTATTTATTTTGAGATGGAGTCTTTCTCTCTCACCCAGGCTGGAGTGCAATGGCCCCATCTTGGCTCACTGCAAACTCCACTTCCCAGGTTCAAGTGATTCTCCTGCCTCAGCCTCCTGAGTAGCTGGGATTACAGGCACACACCACCGTGCCTGGCTAATTTTTGTATTTTTAGTAGAGACGGGGTTTCACTATGTTGGTCAGGCTGGCCTCGAACCCCTAACCACACTTAATCTACCTGCCTCCACCTCCCAAACTGCTGGGATTACAGGTGGGAGCCACTGTGCCCCGCCGTTCTTTAAAATTTAATAAGTTGCATTTTTTATATTAGTATAAACAGATACATGGTACCTAAATATTTTTAAATGTTAACCTTTTATTTTGTGATAGAGATGTATCATTCACAGTTTAATTCTCTTTTGAGGAAAAATTAGTTCTGCTTTCATATGTCTCCTATGCAAAACAAATGCTCCAAAGAACATATACATTTCTTTGGGCAATTGTGTTTTTTTATTTTTTATTTTTTTACCTAGGATACTGCTTGCACTATTTTCTAGGGCTGCCATGATAAAATACCACAGACTTGCTGGCTTAACCGAAAATTTATTTTCTCACAGTTCTGGAGCCAAGAAGTCCAAGATCAAGGTTACGGCAGGGTTGGTTTTTGATAAGGATTCTCTCCTTGGCTTGCAGACAACCACCTTCTAGTCATATATGTATCTTTATATGGGCTTTCCTTTATGTGTGTCTGTGTCCCAGTCTCCTCTTCTTATGAGGACGTAGTCATATTGGGTTATAACCTACCCTAAAGACCTCATTTTAACTTAATTACCTCTTTGAAGACCCTATCTCCAAATATAACACATTGTGAGGCACTGGGGATTAGGATTTCAATTTCAACATATGAAGATTTTGGAGGTGGGCACAATTCAGCCCATCACAATATTCTAGTTCCATTGTTGATTAATGAATTACCACAAAAATCAATAGCTTAAAACATTTATTTACTTCAGCTCACTGATTGCTGAGTGCATGTCCCTTTTCTATGAGGTCTGGGGCTGGAGGCTGAAATCAGTTGAAAACTCCGATTGTAGTCATTTCCCATGTGGTCTTCTAGAAGAAACACAACCTGTTTCATCACCTCACGAAGCTGGCCAGGATTTTGTGACTTCCTCTACAGAACAGAATATGGCCAAAGTGATATTGTGTAACTTTTGATGATAGCTCAGAAAAGGCAGTATGATGTCTCCCTTTCTCTCCCTTTCTTGTTCTCTCTCAGGACACTCATCCTTAGAACTCAGTTAATACTCACCTTGTAGTAACTGCACTAGGAAGTGCAAGGTAGCCCAAATTGAGGGGAACTGAGGCCCCCAACCAACAGCCAGTATCAGCCTCCAGACACTTGAGTGAACAAGCTTCAGATCACTCCAGTCCCAGGTCTGCTGGGCCATGTCTGCATTCATGACCCATAAAATCTATGATCATAGTAAATGGTTGTTTTATACCATTAATTTTTGGAGTACTTTGTTACAAATTGAGAGTATTTGGCTTGAGACCTGAAAGATAAAAAATAGTCATCCATGTGAAAATTAGGGTGAGGGGTCTTGCAAACAAAAGGCCCAGCAAGTAAAAATACCTTGGAGTGTTGCAGGAAGAGACAAAGGTGTGTGTGGCTGGAGACTGATGGGTGACATAGGAAGTGATATAGAATTAGACTAGAGGAAAACAAGGGAGAAATCCTGAGATAGAGGGAAGAGTTTGAATTTTATTCTAAATTCAGCTGGAAACCACTGGAGTTTTAAAAAGAATGAAATGACCTCGTTTGATTTACATTGTAGGAAAATCACTATGTTTGCTCTGAAGAGCAAGAGTAGAAAGAAGAATGATGGGTCTTTGAAGTTATTTGGGCAACTCATTGTCATGGCTTGGGCCCAGGTGGTAGTAGCATCAGTGGGGAAAAGTGGAGAGATTCAAGATGTGTTTCAGGGGATGAACCATAGGACTAGCTGAGAGACTGGATTTGGGGACTAAGAAGAAGAATGGAATCCAGGGTCATGTGTAGGTTTTGCCATTGAATGGATGCAGGATCCTGTTTGGGGAGGACTGTGATGGAATGACAGGGGGTTTTGAGGAAGATAAGAATCATAGGGCTCATTTATTTGTTACGTTTTAAACATTTATTAGAGATTTAAGTGAAGATGTTGAATAAATAGTTAGATAAGGGAGTCCTAGGGTCAGATTTAGCAATATAAATTTGTGAACCAACATTTAGATATTAAATACACAGAGCACTGAGACTAGAAGAGATTAACCAGGGAGAAAATGTGACTAGAGAAGGAAATATGCCCCATAGAGAGCACGGGGCACATTAATATTTGGAAAACAGAGAGAAGGTAGGAGACCAGGAAAATATATGCCAAGGTAGTAAGAGGAGGACTTTCCTGTGTGACAACACAGGGAGAAAATGTTTTCAGAAGGAAGTTAAATAACTGTAGAAATTCTTTCCCACAGCTAAACTTAAATCTCACTCCATATTACTTCTACATACTGGTATCAGGTCTTAATTCTAGAAAACATACAAAAAGAAATTTTATAAAAATGTTTCCTAGTACTAATGGAAAGATAATACATTTTGTAGGTGTTGTGCTCTTGATTTGAATCCTGGGGCTACCGCTTCTTATCTGTGTGACTTTGGACAAATGACTTGGCCTCTGTGAACTTCACTTTCTTCATTACTGGGACAAGATGGTGATAACTTGCTTTGCAGGGTTATTGAGAAGCTTAGTAAAAATACACGTTACACATCTGGCCAATAATATGTGCTCAATAAATTGAAATAATGATTAAGTTGATCTTCTATCCCCTACAATAGCCCTAGGAAGGGTTGACAATTACTGCCATATTTCTTTTTGAAATCAAGATTTTCTACATTACCATCTTTCTCCCATTCTCCTCTTTTCTTCTTCCTTTTGCTTCCTCTTCCTACACCTGGCCAATTTATTTCGATCTCAAAGAACTCTAAAGTAAACAAAGGATATTACCCATCTAGGTAATACCTTTCCATACTACAATGGCATAGGCTGTTTTGTGAAGTAGGGAGCTACTTTAAGAAAGTGGCATGCTGTGGTCAAGAGCTTAGGTTCTTGGGTAATACTATATGGGATTTAATTCCATTTCTACCACTTAGAAGCTATGTGGACTTGAACAATTTACTTAAACTTTCTATGTGTATTTTTCTTCATTTGTGAAATAGGGGTGATGGTACCTATGTCATTGGGTTATTACAAGGATCACACAAATTAAAATGGGTAAAGTGCTTAGATGGGTGCCTCGTACTCAATATTGAGTTAGCACTCAACAAATGTGAGCTACTGTTTACATACAGGCTTTCAAGCAGATGGCTGATGGCCTTCCTTCCAGGATGTGGTACCAGGGATTTTGTGTCTCCAGGAGGTGGGTGGGGTAATTTCTGAGGCCCCTTCTGACTCTGACATTTTAGGATTTTATAACTAGTGGGACTTAATGATTTTGGGGGTTGTTATCTCCAGAGGTGAAGGGGAAACAGAAGTACTTGTTCTTGATTCACAGGAAGCTGAGGCATGTTTAGGAAAATAAATAAAATTGGGTTAAAAAGTAAAAAACACTTCAATTTTGAATAATCTCTTTTTTTAAACACCAAAACTTCTGATTTTCTGGCTCAGGTTTCCTATTCAGATTTTAATTTTTTAGAGAATTCATCTTTGGTTATACAAGCAGCATGATATAGAAAAAAGAGCACGTTTTCAGAGTTAATTCTAAATTTAACCTTCTACCTTTCTATTACCACAGAGTGGCTGAATGTCTCTAAGCCTCAGTTTCCTCAATTTAAAGAGAGAAATAATAATTCTACCTTGCGGTGTTATGTGAGAATTAAGTAAAATAATCTACATAAAAGTCTCAGCCAGGTGAAAGGATGTTATCCTTCTGTACCTGTCCTGCTGAACTGCAATTGCTAGCTCTGCTTGCTCCCATTTCCTCCCAGATTCCAAAAATATCAATGCAGATGGCTCTTTTTGAACCTGGGGAAAGTATATTATATATTTGCAGTAGTAGGTCCTGCTATTAGATGATATTTATAACTCTGCTGAAACCAGACTTATTACTTGAATTAACAAAAAAAAGTACAGTAGTTTCTACAGGTTCTAAAAATATTACTCAGAAATAATGCTCTTTCCAGACCCCTAATGCTGAGTAAGGTAAACCTAACCTCTCAGTTTAATAGGCTGCTGATAATCCCTCTATGCCAATGGGAAAATTAGCTAGTGCCAGGGTATTTTTAACTGGTCTGAACAAACACATCTTCATTTGCATCTAGCAAGATGTAACCTTAGCAACAGTGTGTATTTTTGGACTGCTTTTCATTTAATGCAAATGAAGCACCACCGATACACCCGGAATCTGATGACAGAATTCAACGTGACCAATTCATGTGTCTGAGGGCTCCAAGTGCCTTGCCGGCCCCATCAAATTCTGATTTCCTGTCACCGGTATGAATCAGTATGGCCCAAACTAAAATTATTTTAGAGTATCGATTTTTCATGTTTACTTTCTTTCATGTTTTACTGTCACTCGTATTATAAATGACCTGGAGTGTGGGAGAAGCTGTTTATTGTGTAGTGGGCTTAAGTTTCACATTGTGACAGATTATTAAAAATGTGGTTATCTCCTTCTGAACTGTTACCTGAGGGCAGTTACCTGCCATGTCTGAACCACAATGCCTTCTCTTAATACAAAACAGAGGCGATCATTAATTTGACAGTTTTCCTCCCTTGTAACATTGCATTAAATACCATATTTGAAACTGATTTTTTGAGTTTATCATTATTACTTTTTAATTGTATGTATTATGTACTTATTGGAGATGATGTGATACTGTGATATATGTTTATATTATGAAATGATTACCTCAAGCTGATTAACAAAGCCATTATCTCACATACTCATTATTTTCTTTGAAAGTGAAAACATTTAAATTCTACTCTTTTAGTATTGCTAAAGAAGCAGGAGGGACATTAGTTTAAGGGCATGCTTCATCTTGCCTGCCATGATGACTGTTAGATAAAATCACTGGTACTTTGAACCGAACCAGTTTCTTTTGTAGGGCTGGAAATGGAGATGAAGAAAATTGGTCTTCCTGAAGACTGCTCTCTGCAGCCCTTTGTAGTTGACAGTTGGTTTGTACTCCTATGTTTGAGCAATTTAAAGATGGACATACAATAATTCTCATTTCCACCTAAAGGAGAGGAACAAAACAACCTGAGTAACAGAGGGCTTTGGCAGTCCTGTTGGAAAAATGGAAGCTTCCCTAGCACTGGTTTCTCAGTCTTTTGCCTACCACTGCCATAGCCAGCTCTTCTTCAATCTTGTTTAACTACTGTATGTTAGAATAAGTGAATACACGAATGTATGATAAGCAATTTGTCATCATGACTCCCTAGTCAAAGAATCACACTTGGTTATACTGTCCCACCAACCATGAATTGGAACAGAGGGCTCAGGAGTAAAAATTTGAGAATGTGTAAGTATCTGTGTGTGTGTATGCACGTGTGTGTGTGGCTCTTATGTATGTGCTTGTGTGTCTAGGTTCATGAGTCTGTGCATGTGACCCTGTGACCTAGGGCTGGTAGGCATGTATGGGACTCTGTGAGTTTATATCTGTATATGAGTGTGCCAATAAATTTAGGTATATGTAGCTTTTACTTGTTTGTTGTTATATAGGAGGAAGGGAGTAGCTGAGGATTGAGAAGTTCATTTATTCATTCACTCAGGAAATATTCACTTAGAGGATAAGAGGGTCAGACTGAGTGGGTGAGGTCATTGGTGCAGCCAATGGAGGAATCATGCCAAATAGTGATGGAGAAATGCTGGTCTCTCTTGTGTGCTTTGAATAGCACTTTGCAAACGCCTCTATAGAGGCTCAGGTGACAGCTGTGGGAATCAACGAAGCCCTTTAATGATCTTCAAGGCCATACATATTAAGCTGTAAAAAACAGAGAGCTCTGTCTTTTTCTTCCTGTCTTCTACTCTATTCCCCTTCCTTGCATACCCAAGCCCCTTCTGGTACATCCTACTTCACCCTAAGGAGACAGACACTAACCTGATGTACTCCTTCTAATGCAGCTCAAGAGGACAAGTTCCTGTCCAACTGGTGAAGTTTCTGTTGCTCACAGTGAAGGCCCTAGGACATCGTCAGGGGCTTAGGATGCAGTCTAACTCATTTCACATTGTGTTATTAAAGTCAGGAAAGTCAGTTAGGGAGATTGGTATTATCCCAATTGTCACCAGAGGAGCATTTTTGAGTGTTCTAGAGAGCAAAAAGAAAGTTCATCATTTTTACTTGCATCAGGAACGATGGCAGGAATTATGTGTCAGTTGTGTTTCTGGAAAGGAGAAATGAGGGCAGCACTTCCCAGAAAGAAGACATGCCCTGCTCAAGGCCTGGCCAGGGTGAGCTGTGATGGGAACCCGAAGCTCCCAGTTCAAGATCTTCTAAAACCCCTATTCCCGTGTGAATGCTGTCTAATTTCTCTTTTCCCAAAAGATTTCTAGCAGAATAAATGTCTCCGGACCTGCCTCTGTGTTTAACTATTGTGTGCCAGAATAAGTCCTCCTGGAGCATTTCAGGCTCTGCTCCACAGCACATCCTGCAGGCATTTACAGCCCATAGGCACTTGGACCAGTGTCTACTCTTTTATGTGATTTTCTCATGTCCCAGGTGAGGCAGGTGATTACAACTATTCTAAAGGTAGAGAAACTGAGGCTCTGAGGGGTAGATAGTAAGATGCAAAACCAGAACTGAAGGCTCAAACCCAGGTTTTTACTGACTGGAGCACAGTTATTTTTTTACACACCCGCCTCCCCCACACACTAGGGGTTCCTGAAGAGTAGAAGCTCCATCTTGCTCCTTGGTGCACCTTTGCCCTTGAGCTTGGGGCCTGGCTTGGTGTGTAGGGTTAATTTCCCCAAGAGCCAGACTCTGGAACTGGAAGAGGAAGCTCATTGGAGAATCTCCTTAGGATCAGTCAATGCCTGTGGAGGAAAGAAAGCAGCAGGACTGGGCAGAGGGAAAACGACAAGAAAGGTATCAGCCGATCCCACGGGCAGTGCTGGAGCTGGGATGGCCCTTCAGAGTTGTGTTCAATACAGGGGAGGGCTCTAGGCCTTTCTAGCCTGTTATTGACCAGTCACTGGATGCGAGCTGCCTCCAGGAAAGGGTGTGACATTGGGCGAGGTGATTCTCTTTAAGGAATTCAGGGACTCAGGGAGAGGAACTCAATTAAGTTCAGAGGAACTCAGAGTCGCCTGCTGCCAACACTCCCAGCAGCTGGGGAATGAGTGACTCAGCCCCATGGGGGTATCTGGGTGGTACACTACAGAACAAGTGGGAAAGGGCTGTGACATCACCTCTTCTCCACAACTTGCTTCCCCGTTCTCTTACCACCATGCAATCCTGGTGTATGGTTCGTTTTTCCTGCATGAGGCAACCCAGCTCTTTGGATATTGCTGTCTTCCATGCTCCACTTCTTACTGTGACTGTGTTCTGAACACTGCTTCTGCATGTGCACGTGTGTGTGTGTGCGTGTATGTGTTCATGAGTGTGGGGGCTGTGTGTGGAGGGGGTGTATGTGCGCATGTGTGTGTGCAGACATGGCTGTATGAACATGTGTTTGTTTCTCACCAGCATCAAGGCTCATTTTTATATGTCTTTCAGGCAGGGACCTCAGTTTTCCCAGCCACCCTGCCTTCCAGGTACAGCTCCGGGGGTGAGAAGAGCATCAGAGCCCTGACTCTGCTTTGCTTCTGTGCTCAGGGTATCTTTGGACCCCAAACTCATGACGCTGGGAACCTACCCAACACTTATGAGAACAAAGACTACACCCAGTGGGAGAATGACTCCAGGTTCAGCAGGGCTGAGGTCCCTGGCATCCATCTGGGAACTCTTGGACTCCTTGCCAGGGAGGGGCCCCACTGTAGGGGTCAGTGGAGACAGCTTTGGCAGCAAGGGGTTCAGAGGACAGATGCTGAGGCTGAGGCTTGTTCTGGAACAGAGGCTCCATTCTCCATGGAGGGGTCATCGGTCAAGCTGTGGCAAGCTCTCCGACCCCCCTGAATGCAGACTCTGTGAGATGTGATAAACCAGGCCACGGGACATGATGCCCCTCCCTGAATAGTTCTGTGACTGGACAGATTTCTCCCACATTCCAGAGGCCACACCAGGGGCCTGGTGTGAAAAGTCTTCCCCACAGGGGGTCATCCTTGACCACTGCCCACACTTCACATTTTCTAATCAGAGAGCTGGGTTCCACCATCCAGCTGGTCCACAGCCTGTGGAATTCCGTCACTCTCCAGGCTGCCTTCCAGGCTGATGGGCCACAGGGTGGAGGAGGTTGCTACATATTTGGGCAATTTCAGGGAGTCCAGAAAGAACTTCTGGCTCCCCCAAGTCCTGTTTCTTGGCTTTTGCCATGAGATTCCTGCTGCTTGATACCAGAATTCCCTTTTAGCAGACGACAACATTTTTTGAAGATAGCTCAGACATGGAGAGCACCTTTGAGGGTAGGTAGGAGTGGGGCACAGTGTTAGAGATAGGCCCCTTCCTGGGAGCTGGATATTTTGGTGAAGAGTGAGGAGAGGAACGAGACCCTGAAATGGGGAAGGCTATGGAATGCAATGGAACCCAGAGGCTGGAAATGGCATCAAGACTAAGGCTACCGAATTTGCCAAGTTGTCAACACTGTCTCAATCTGCCTGGCAGGGGACCTTGATAAGGTCAGAGAGAGTATTGACATAATTTCACAGACAGGCTCAAGCGTGGGCTCACAGTGCTGTGTGTTACATCATGCTGTGAAGTGGGTGTGTCCCCAAGGTTCCTCATGAGGAAGCTGGCTCAGAAACACAAATTGGGTGCTCATTTGTAAAATAGATCACTTCTCTTGGAGTCAAGCAAAGTTTTCCAGAGGAGGCAACATCTGAGATGGGGCTTAAGAAGCAGGTTAGGAGTTCTACAAACAGGCCTTTGTCCCAGGCTCGCTTTGCACTGAGGGAGTTCTCAGAAGGAGAGGGCACTGCCTGTAATTTTAGGGTCCCCTGGAGACGTAGCTGAAAGCCATAGTCCTCATCACTGGATAGATCGATAACTGGTAGGAACTTACAGAAGCAAGAGCAGTCAGAGAAACAAAGATGCTTTGAAAGTTACAAAAGAGAAGAGAATGACTAAGGCAGAGAGAGAATTTATACAAAAGTTGAACATGAAGTTACCATGTTCTTTGAAAATAAAAGATGATTTTGTCTCATAGACTTCATTTTTTTTTTCTGTCTGGAATCAGAAGCCTCATAGGAAGAGATTAAGGGAGAAGGCAGCCTGGAGTGGTTGCATATCTGCAACAGAAGTACTTATGTGTCTTTAACAAAGAAAACTGAGAGGTGACTATAGCTCACTGGAAAGGGCCCTGGGCGAGGCTGCTGGTTCCTGCCCCTCCCAGATGCTCTGTGAGCTCTCCGTGTGTCCTTGGGCAAGCCCCTTGCCTTCTCTGGCTCTCCCATGGCAAAATCATTAACTGAAAGGTGCCTTTAAATTCTCACCCTCTATGGATCTATTTTTAACCAAAAAAAAAAAAAAAAAAAAAAAATCACACTTACTCCCACACTGTGAGCTTGCCATAACAACATTTGTAGCTACACAAACTTCCCAGAATCAGAAAGAAATAGCATTTGTGAAGTGTCAGCTCATCAAAAATTACTGGCAACCAGAGGGTTCCAAGCCCATCCCCAAAACCTGCTCCATGATGTGAACATAGGCCAGGCAGGCGCCTTCCCCGCACGATGCCTCTCGGGCCATGTTCTTGCTGACTACGCCACATGTTCTCACAACAGAAATAGAATCCGTCTGTCACACAGCAAGTGCACTCCTGGGAGAGTGAAGTGTGTGAGTATGTGTGTGCGTGTATGTATTTTTTTATTTAATTTTTTTTCTAGATAATTCTCTGTCAAAGAAAGTTATTTCGGAAGCAGGGGGCATGAGGCCCTGGAAAGCTGTTAGCTCCCTGCTAGACAAGTCACTTATCACAGCATCTTGGCATCCTCAACTAGAGACAGTGCCAAGAATGCTCAGCACATGCCCTGCAGGGGTGTCATGCGGCCCATGTTGGGGACTCATAGACTTTTTGGGTGTGAAACTCCACTGCAAAGCAAAGTATCCCCAGATGATTGGGACACATTAGTTGCCTTCTCCTAATCCTAGATTCAGGACTCCCATGAGCTAAACTAAGCTGGTAGCTCTGAGCTCATGCCATCCTTAGATCAGAGACCAGCTCCTCTGAGATCACTCTTTCCACTATCCACTTGGTACAGCCTCTCTGACAAGGGGCATCCAGCTGCCTAATCATCCATCTGAGGTCTACACAGTGGCCAGTGGGGTTTCTTTTATCCTAATATGATCTCACTGTTGAAACTATCAGCAACTCGAGAAACTCTTCATAGGAGGAAGAATCTGGAGATTGGGCTCAAGCCCAAACACCCCCCACCAATAAGTTGCATAACCTTAGGCAGACTTTTTAGATCTCTCTGTGCATCAGTGTCATCTGTAAATTGGGGATCATGAAAGCATTTGTCTTACCATCTTGTGGGTTCTCGTAAATATGACCTATGCCACTGGGCATCAGATAATGTTAAGCACAGTCTGAGCTGGGCAAGGGCCCCTGGGTGCTGTGTACATGGTACACTGCCAGACACCTGCAGCTAAGAAGGTGGGATAAAAATAGCGCCCAGATGACAACTGCCAGGCAGAAAGCTAGAATTTAGAGTGCAGGACCTCTGGAATGTGAGAGATCAGAGGAGGTAAAGTCATCGGCAAGTTTTTGTTTTTTTTTTTCTTTTCAACTTTTATTTTAGAATCAGGGTCCATGTGCAGGTTTGTACAAAGGCATATTGCCCGATGCTGAGGTTTGGGGTATGATCGAAACTGTCACCCAGGTAGTGAGTATAGTATCCAATAGGTAGTTTTTCAGTCCCTCCTCTGCACCCTCTAGTATTCCCCAGTGTCTATTGTTCTCATCTTTATGTCCGTGTGTACCCAGTGTTTTGCTTCCTGTTAGAAGTGAGAGCATTCTGTATTTGATTTTCTGTTTCTACATTAGTTAGCTTAGGATAATGGTCTCCAGCTGCATTCATGTTGCTGCAAAGAGCATGATTTCATTATTTTACATGACTGCGTAGTATTTAATGGTATATAAGTATCGTATGTTCTTTATTCAATCCACCCTTGAAAGGCACCTGAGTTAATTCTATGGTTTTGCAATTGTGAAGAGCACTGTGACAAACCTACGCATGCATTTGTCCTTTTGATAGAATGATTTATTTTCCTGTGGGTATATACCCAGCAACGGGATGGCTAGGTCGAATGGCAGTTCAACTCTTGGTTCTTTGAGAAATCTCTAAACTGCTTTCCACACTGGCTGGACTAATTTACATTCCCATCGACAATGTATAAGCGTTCCCTTTTTCTCTGCAGCCTCGTTAACATCTGTTATTTTTTGATTTTCTAACAGAAATCATTCTGACTGGTGTGAGATGGTATCTCATTGTCTTTCTTTGATGATTAGCGATGATAAGCATTTTTTCATATGTTTGTTGGCTGCTTGTATGTTTTCTTTTGAGAAGTGTCTGTTCCTGTCCTTTGTCCACTTTTTAACGGGGTTATTTGTTTTTTGCTTGTTGATTTGTTTAAGCTTCTTATAGGTTATGGAAATTAGATCTCGTTTCTTGAAGGAGACCCACATCTAGGCAGTTCTCCCTGCCCGTGCCAGAATGTGTCTGTATCAGTCCATTCTCACACTGCTAAAAAGAACTACCTGAGACTGGGTAATTTATGAAGAAAAAAGGTTTAATTGACTCACAGTTCTGCAGGCTTAACAGGAAGCATTACTGGGAAGCCTCAGGAAACTTACAATCATTGCCCAAGGTGAAGGGGAAGCAAGGACCTTCTTCACATGGTGGCAGAAGACAGTGAAGAGGGAAGTGCCACACACTTTCAAACTACCAGATCTCACGAGAACTCACTCACTATCATGAGAACAGCAAGGGGGAAATCTGTCCCCATGATCCAGTCACCTCCCACCAGACCCCTCCTCCAATTTGACATGAGATTTGGGCAGGAACACAAATCCAAACCATATCAATTTTCCTTCGGACACCCCCTCAGCCCAAGGGATCATTGGTCTCCCCACGTATGTGAGCCTTGCCCGCCAGCTTTGTGACAGGTCC
The DNA here is from genome assembly GCF_000001405.40 of Homo sapiens. Classification (NCBI taxonomy): domain Eukaryota; kingdom Metazoa; phylum Chordata; class Mammalia; order Primates; family Hominidae; genus Homo; species Homo sapiens. The sequence goes on from NC_000002.12 coordinate 16,721,159, forward strand.
CTGAGAGAGAATAGAGATACTGGTTTCCTGTTGTTCCCCAGACCTGTCTAGCTGGGTAGGCTCATTCTAGGTGCTCAGGGTCCCTTTTAGGGCCATTCCTTAGCCTGTCACCCCACTGGGCACAGCTTGGCTATTCTCCTGGGCTGCTCTACTCAGCCAGTTCTCAGCACACAGATGTCTCCCTGCACTGTCCTCTCCCTGTGACCCTCTAGTGGGGCCAAGCCTCTGCCTGTTGCCAGACTCACTCATTCATTCATTCATGTCTGTCATCTTTTCCTCATTTAACAATAGTCTGTACATTTTAGACTCCAGGTGGACACTGGAGATGAAGAGATGAGTGGGCATGGTCCCTGCTCATGTGGATTTTGGAAAGTTCCTTAATGAATGACTCCCCTACCAGCCCTAAGGAGTCCTGACTAGCTTGTGGCTGAGCTGAGGAATGGACAGCTATATTTAAATTGGGCCCATCAGCAATGAGCATGCAGAACAACTAGTTATTTCCTTTCATCCACACAGCAGCCTCTGTGAGAATTTTTATACCCATTTTCCTGATAAGGCAACTGAGGCTAGGAGGAGACTAGTAAGAGGTAGAGCCAGGATTAGAAATAAAGCCTTCTGGCCAGGCACGGTGGTTTATGCCTGTAATCCCAGCACTGTGGGAGGCTGAGGTGGGCAGATCACGAGGTCAAGAGATCGAGACCATCCTGGCCAACATGGTGAAATCCTGTCTCTACTAAAAATACAAAAATTAGCTGGTCGTGGTGGTGTGCACCTGTAGTCCCAGCTACTCAGGAGGCTGAGGCAGGAGAATTGGTTGAACCCGTCAGGCGGAGGTTGCAGTGAGCTGAGATTGTGTCACTGCACTCCAGCCTGGCGACAGAGCGAGACTCCATCTAAAAAAAAAAAAAAAGAGAGAAATAAAGTCTTCTGGCCCCCGGTAATGTATGTTCATAATAAACCAAGATGCTTGGGTTCCTTAAGAGGCCCAAGATAAATTTGGGGATGAAAATGGTGGAAAGAGTGCTAAAATGGTCCTTCTGCCTGGGATAAATAAACATGAGTCAGTGGGGAGGCAGCATTTTCTCCTTGGAAAACATGTGTGTAATTCTGCAATTAGAAGTGCCAGTAAAAGTGGGTGGGCAGTTCTCTGGGATATAAATCACTACCAATAGTCAAAGATGAACAGCTGTGGCTACAACGGGCTGGGGCCAGGGAAGTTCAGGCACTCCATGCTTTATGTCATGACCACCTTGGAACCTTCCCCTGACTTTGGCTATGGATCTCTGAGATTCCTTTTTCTCTGTTGCCTCTCAATCCTTCCTCATCTTAGTCATCTTGGTGATATTTATTTTAAAAATGTGTATATTGTATATGTGTGTGCCGGTAACCAGGTCACTTCCCTAATTAAAACCCTTCATTGGTTTTCTAGATCCACAGGTAGAATTTAAACTCTTGAGTATGGCTTATGGAGATGTCTCAGTTGGAGTTATCCCCAAGGCAAAGAATTAGGTGCAAGAATTGCCCACTGAGCAGTACAACGGCAGAGGCATTTATCCACCAATGCTTGTTTCTCTTTGGTGAAGGCTTGTTTCGGGGGATATTAACTTCCCACCATGTCTGTTCTGCTCCTCACAGAGCCAGCTCACTCCTGGGAGTAACAAGGGCTTTCAGATGGAGATGTGCAGGCGCTCAAGGTAGAAGTCATTTGCCTGTCGGGGAACTGTCCACCCACGCTGCTGGCGCCCTCCTAAGGTGAGCCAAAAGGATGCGGGGGTCAGTGTGCTGTCTACTGCAAGGACTCTGAAAGGGATTTCTTCTTGGCCTCATCGTCTGCTCCTGAACCCGCTCCAAGAGTTCACAGAGATGTCACTCCATGAGTAAGAAAAACATGTAGATCATGTACACAGTTATGGCACATTTGTAAGAATCTGTTTATCTGAAGAAGCAGGCAATTAATCTTTTTTTAGTCAATTGACCAGGCTGTGAGCTTTTCACTGTTTTCTTTTTAGTATAAGGTCTCATATCCTTACTAACAGGCAGGAGAAGGAATCAAATGGCAATATAAACAACTCGTAGCTATCAAAAAACACAAATCCCTGTGTGATAGGCATGAGGTAAGGCTATGTTCAACTCTCTTCCTGAGCCTGGACAGAAATACCCTGTAAAACTCCTTAAGCAATGGAGGATTCTATAATAAAAAGGAACAATTTAGTTGCATTCTTTAGACTCTCCTTAGTAAGGCAAAACAAAGAATATGACCAGGTATGTGGAGATTTAACTCGAGTTTCTGATTAAATAAGGTTTGAAATCTGTTCCTGAATAGACAATTTTCCCCAGTCTCCCATATTTTGCCCATGCTGTTCCCTCTGCTGAGACTTCCCTTCCCATGTTTGTCCATCACTGCTTCTGTGAAATCTCCGACCAGTGCATACATCCTTGTCGCTACAGAATACCTGAAAATACTTTATCATGCCCATTGAAACTATTAACCCCTTTCTAAAATTAATTTTATTTATCTGTCAAAGTGCCCACAATAATGAACTTTGAGGCCAAACATTTTTGAATATAATATAATCTTTATTATTTTAATAGCATACGCACCTAATTTGTAGAGCACTATGTATGTTTTTCTTTGTCTTAAAAACATCTATTTCAGATTGGCTATAAAAAGAAATTCCTTGATTTGAAGGCAATTGCTAAATATTTTCTGTGGGCCAGTCTTAGTGGGACACACCTATAATTTATTATCCCTATCCTATCCTAAGGAAATTTATTATCCTGCTAAGAAGCTGATGTATAAATCCAGGAAATAGCTAAGAATTAATTCCAGCCACTTGGCAAACCAGAAGGAATTCATGCCATGGAGAAATCCAGTGCAAGTTGGGGCAACATTTTAAGGTTATGAGGCTCCAATTGAGCTTTGGAGGAAGGATGGGATATGGCGCTTCTGACGATAGAAGGACATCCTGAAACAGTACAGTCCAGGTGGCACAGAACCTCAGTGGGAATAAGCAGGATGTGTTGTTGAAGGAGAGTAGGACCATGATGGATTTTCCTGAAATAGCCTCTTTGTGCTGGTTGGAAGGGTGTATTCATTGAAAGGTGTAACTGGAAGAGCGCAGACTGGGGAGAACCAGGATGCCAGCCAATGGGATTTAACATTCAGCCAACATATAACCAGTAATCTTTTTAAGAAAAAGGTGGGCACTAAGATGCTCGTGCTTGAGGAAAGTCAATGTGGCCACTGTATGAAAGATGGATTGAGTGAAGATGAGAAGCAGGCTGAGATGGGACAAAGGGAGGATGGCAAGTCAGGAGATTGTCCTACTGAGACCTTCAGGAGAACAATGCTTGAGGTGAGGAAAGGAGAATAGATGCATGTTTGGTGGGACATTTGTCTGCAAGGCAAGAAAGAAGGATGTAATAATAACAACTGCAATGTTTGGCTCTTGTCCAGGAGAATAGAATAGTGTTGATGGGGGTGGATGGGTAGGAGAAATTCACCCAAAGAGGTAAGACTTGTTGAAGCCACACTAATGGAGTGCATTTGTGTGTGTATGTGTGTGTATGTGTATGTGTGTGTTTAGGGGGCACAGAGAGAGTTTTGCTGTGAGAAGAGGAGCAGAAGTGGGAAGAAAATAGAGGCAGTCAGAGGTAGGATTAATTGGGTTAAAGCCAGTTAGGATTGAATAGGGCTAAAGACCATCTTTGAATATAGCTTAGTTTCAGTCATACCCGTTACTTGAGCCATTCTTTGGAGCACACAGGGGCTCTGCCTTCCCTGAGCATCAATAATGCAGCAGGGAAATTGCAGGTCTGTTCCTGAATAATGACACAGATTAGGAACATAAGCCATTTGAAAAGCTCTTCCTTTATCACTGTAATTACAAACATAGCTCATGTTTGGGACCTGGTATGGAATTTGATGCTTGACTTTTCAATATGTGTCCATGCAGTTTCCATACAGTTTCTTTTTGGCTGATGACACTACTGAAGTTTGTATGTAGATACAAATGCAGCCATTCATAGCCTATACAAAAACACATCCACAGATGTTTTGCACAAGAATCACGCTCAGTGACTCTCAAAATACCTTCACCACCTCCACACTCCTAAGGGGTATAACACACTCAGATCAATAACAGAGAGTTAATTTGTATGTCTTCCATTTCAGTGGGAGAATTGGAAGGCATACATCCCTGAGAGCTTGAGTCAGAATCTAGGGTAGGGAGAGTGGGAAGCCCTTCAGGAAGCAGGTCCCTCCCAGGGGACTCACTGTTTTCTAGTTCAAGAGCAGCCTGGACTTATGTTTCTGCCAAAGCTGTGTTTTCTGCCCTGCCTTCTGCCCTTCAAATCCTAAACGTATCCTCAACCCTTAAACACTCTTCAAGAGCCAGTTGTAGTTTTCTCTTCAGCCGAGAGATAACCCCTGACTCACATAGCCGAGGCCATCTCTTCAATATGCCATCCTGGCCCTTGCATTTCGCATTTGATTATCTCTTTGAGTGTCTGTCTCCTCCTCTAGACTGTGAACTCGTTGAGAGTAGGTGTCATGTCCCAGTCATCTCTGAAGCTCTGCATCTAGCATAGTGCTTGGCAGAGGGAAGACAGTGAAAGCTTACAGATGGAACGAATGAACGAGGTGGTTGATGATTCAGTGACACACGAGTCGTTGCATGCTATGTTAGTTTTTCTATAACCCCTCATGTGTTTGCAGCCTTTCAGAATACCTGACCTTTGCATTCTTTAACTTATCGTTACCATAGTGCTTCCCTAGAAGGCTAACAGTGACAGTATAATTATTCTCCTGTTATACACAAAAAACTCAAGTACTTGAGAGTAAAGTGGCATGACTGAGGTTGACATCAGCAGATGGAGGAGTTAGGACCAGTACCTAGGTAGTTTGACTCCAGAATGGGTTTTTTCCACTTCATCACATTTTATCTTTTCCAGCCAGTATGCATTCCCTTTCTGCCTTTGGGGATTGGTTCAATATTTCTTCTGTTGGAGCTGGGTGGGGGACACTCCAACAAATACCTAGCCCTTGCCTCTTCTGATTCTTCTGGAAGGAGTCCACTTTCCATGAGTGGAAAATCCAAAAGAAACTATTATTCTGGAGAGGCCCAGTGCCTGATCTCTCATGCTCTACATTTCCCAACTCTCTTCCGGAAGTTACACTCACCCCAGATGACTTCAGAGACTCTTTCCGAGGCTTAGAGCAATAGTAATTGGCAAGCACTGTAATTGCCAACAGTCATTGGCAAGATACTGTTTGGTATCCACCTTCTTAAAATGGAATATGAGAACATATATTATTCTATTTTTTTAAAGTCTTTTTCCTCTTCTCTTCCTCCTCCTTCTCATTCTCCTCTTCCTCCTTTTCCTCCTCTTCACCTTTCTACTCCGTCTTTATTCCTGTCTATTCCTTGCAGCATTTTAAAGCTCTTCACACACATATGGGCAATTCAATTTTTTTCGCTAAGTCACTTTTGCTTCATTATCATTAAAACTAATGTGTATTTTTTTCTGCAAAACTTTGCTAAAGTCCCTAGCTAGGATACAAAAAACCTGGGTTCTAGTCATTTTTTCTTAGTCACTGGCCTTGTGACTTCAGAAGAGTCACATAATCTTTCAGTTCTCTTATTAATCATGTTTCGTTTTCAATTATTTATTTTCACGATTGCCTTCCCTACTGGACAGTGAACAAGTAGAAGGTAAGGCCAATATTCTGTTCAAATATGTATTCTTAAGGCCTAACACAGTTTCCAGCAGATATTGGTTGAACTCAATGGCGCATTGAATGTCAGAGAGAGGATAGGAGGCAATTAACTGCAGAAAAGGTACACTGAGAAGCCCTTCTCACCTGTTGGGTGCTTTCCTTGATATTTGAGGAGGAAAGTAACAGGGTCAAAGGGGTGGGAGGTGTGGAGATGATGACAATGATGATGATGACAATGTGTGTGTGTGTGTGTGCAAGCACTCTCCTGTGCACACATATGTGATGTTTGTTCAGAATGGAGGACATAGAGTTGCTGGCAGCAAGGGAAGGAAGGGAGCCACGAGTGACAAAAACCCAGATAGTGGATCACTGAATATCGGGATTTGATGTAACCAGAGAAAATGGAGTCAAAATTCCCTGGCCCAATACCCAACAGAAACCTAGTCAAATACCCATGATCTTAGCACCACTGTGTGGCAAGAGCTGGGAGTCAAGAGTTCTTCTAACTCATTGGGTGACACAGGGAAAGCTGCCTCTACTTTAAGGTGACCTTTCAATTTCCAAGACAGCAGAAGACAATGAAGGTTGTCAGCTGAACTTTCGAGGATGCAAAAACACCCACGAGTTGTTGAGTGTGCCATGCTATTTTCTGGGAAAACAGAGGCTTACTAGGATTTGCTTGTTTTGGAATTGCTTCATATCAACATTGCCAAGGAAAAGGCCACACGCTGCCAGAAAGCCGAACTATGATTAGGATTGTTGGGCTAGGGATAAGAATTGCCCAGAAGATAGGATTTTTTTTTTCCAAAAGAAAGACTGTGAAATATATATGAAGGTGAAAATAGAGTGACCACATATGATTAGTGTGATTGGGACCAAGACATTATGGAGAAAGCAATTCTGCTTAAATATCTAAAAGCACAAGAGATACCACAAATAAATCCTAGGAGAGAACACAAGTCAGGAGATTGACATGGGTATGAGGAATATAGGAAAGTATTTTTACCAACATAAAGAGGAGTGTGGAATATATTTCCTAAGAATGCTTCATACATCCTATCCTCCTGATATGGTTTGGCTCTGTGTCTAAATCTCATCTCAAACTGCAATTCCCACATGTCAAGGGAGGGACCTGGTGGGAGGTGATTGAATTATGGGGGTGGTTTCTCTCATGCTGTTCTCGTGATAGTGAGTGAGTTCTCATGAGATCTGGTTGTTTGATAAGTGTCTGGTGCTTCTCCCCCTCACTTACTCTCCTGCCGCCTTGTGAAGAAGGTGCCTGCTTTCTCTTCTGCCATAACTGTAAGTTTCCTGAGGCCTCCCCAGCCATGCAGAACTGTGAGTCAATTAAACCTCCTTTGTTTATACATTACCCAGTCCCAGGTAGTATTTTTACAGAAGTGTGAAAATGGACTAACACACCTTCTTAGGAATAATTTTAACATTAAATTAATGTTCAAGATAATACAAATAGTAGTGTTTATATAAGAAAATATTTTGTGTAAAAAGACCCAGAATCTCAGCTTTGTGTATTCTGTAGCTGTCCCAATAACAATTTTCTTGTAATTAAGCAGCCAGCTGTTCACTGACTCTCAAATGCTTTTCCCATTACAATGGCCAGCATGAGAGGCTGAGACATACATCTCCATCCTTATGTAAGAATTTGGGGGCATTTCAACAACTCAGCTGACTGTGTTTCATCTTCTCAAAGTACTTCTGTTTTGATCATTTTTTCTTATGAAATAGGGAAAATAAAACAAGAAAAACCAAAACCACAATTCCTATGAGTTTCATACCTTGTAAGTGTGTAATAACACTGCCAATACTCTCTGTGAGCATCAAGGTAACTTTTCCATAAAACATCAGGTTTTGTTTGTTTTTCTTAAACTTAAGAAAACAGGTTAAGAAGCATGTTTTCTCCTGTCATGATTTTGCAACGTTAAAGGCAACAGAGGGGTCTGTTTCCTGCATGTTTACTTACTGCAGAGCACGGGATTGTTCTGCACGTAGTACTCCGCCAGTTGTCTGGGCATCATTTCATCCTTCTTGACTATGTCTCATCAGGTTTCTCTCTGAGTTGATGATCTATTTTAAGAGTCACTGTTTCACTCTGCTACATCTGAGGAAACACTGTAGAACAATGCAAAACTAAATACTGGTTCTACATTATTGCAGGGGAGAGACTTTTGGCATATGTAGCCACCTTTCTCATAACATAAAAGAGCTATAAACATCAAAGCCCAAATAGATCTGAGACCACCTGTAGCCCAAACTAAGGAGAGAAATTTAGCCCAGAGCATCTTTAGTTTGAACACAAGTGAATATGATTCCTGGGCAGAATGTCTAGAAGAAAAATAAATGGGCACTGCATCTTTCTTTGTCTATAGAATGAGGTAATAAGATGTCAGATGAGAAGTGATCATGGTTTGGGACAACTGGTAAATTGGAGAAATTTGCTTTCAAAGGCACTAGCCTGCATATTCCCTGCACAGTGTCTCAGGCTCTCTGAAAGGCAGTTGATGACTTAGACGCTTGAAGAAATTAGTGTTAGTCATTTTCCACTAGAAAGACTATGTCATGGCGTGCTCTCTCCTCATCTTCCTTTCTCATTGGACCCATTTCTTCTTCCTTCTTGAAGTCATCATATGACGTGGACTCCATATCTGACAAGCACCAGTGATCACAGAATGAAAGTTCTGCCTCTCTGCCTGCAACTTCACAGTGCAGAGAGGGTCAACCCGAATGTTTGTACTCAACAGTTCTTGACTTTCATTTTCTAAGTTCATCATCACTTTTTAAGCTTTCGGGAGTCCTGGGTTTTAACTGTTTGCAGGAATTCTGGTTTCTAATTACTGTGAATGATACCTGACAATTTCCTTGGCCACAATTTCTCTGTCTGAATTTTAAACATCAAAAAATATACTGCACTTAATAGCCAAAAACACATTTTAAGTAAAAAAGTTTAATATACTCATGATGATGATAATTTTCCAACCATAGAGAAAATGGTTTCATACACTTGTTTTTGCTGAAATGCTGGCAGTGTGTGTCTATTGAGGCATTCATCTCCTTCCTACCCAAGAGACTCTTCCCATTGCCTCTAGGTTGAGGCTCACATCCCATCCTCCAGCAAGAGAGTGCTGCAAGGCCGTTCAGAATAGAGATTTATGTGTGCTTCACTTAAAATGAATCTCATCCCTGTCACCCACATAAAATATGATATCTCAGGCCATCACCGAGAGGAAATTCCAAGTCAGCTAAATGCCTTCCTGATCGTGACATGAGCATGAACAAGGCTCTAAACCAGCTCCGGCGCCTGCCTCACTTTCTAGCCTTGCCTCTGCCAGGCCCCCAGTGTACCCCACGCCTCAGACAGACACAGTCACTTGTGCTTTTCCACTGTCCATGCTCTGAATTGCCTCTGAGCAGGCATCCCCTTGATCTAGAGATCTTCCATTCATTCTTCAAAAAAAAGGCATCTTGTCCTCTGGGAAACTGAAACACTACTTTGCTGCTGTAAGGATGAGATTACCATCATTTTTTTTTTTTTTTGGCACTACTGGCATTCATTTTTCTCCTATTCTCTCTATTATTTTTTAGAAGCATTTAAAAACTTACAAATGAGTGTGCGTAATATAGCCATATACTTTAATGAATAATAATAAAATGAACACCCAGATACCTACCACCTGGCTTGATTGTCAACTTTTTGAAAACATTGTGTGCCTTTCTCTGACCCATTCCCTTCCCCTCCCTAGGGAAAAAATTCAGATCACCACGTTCCTGAATTTTTGAATTATCTTTTTTATTTCTGTAGAATTTGACCACATTTGCAATCATATGTAAACAACACATTACAGTTTTACCTATATTTAAACTTTCTGTACATTGAATCAAATGACTTACAATTCGTATTCTTCTGATTTGCTTTTTTCACTCAACGTTATATCTTCGAGATCCATCCATGATGATGCGTAAGACCAATGTCCATGAGTTCCTTCGTTGTTATATAGGGTTCCACTGTATAAATCATCACAATTTATGTATCCATTCTCCTGATGATAGAGTATTATTTTTTGTTCTTGTAAGAAATTCTCATAAACATTTTTGAACATTTCTCTTAGTGTAGATTGCAAGTTAAAAATATAGTTTTTAAACTATATACTTAGAAATGACAGTGTTGTGTCAAAAATGCAAATTTCATTCCTTTAGGCAATGCAAAATTGTTTTCAAAAGCCATTATACCAATTTATCCTTCCTTTACTACCATTTGTAGTTTCCAAGTTTTTTGTCTTTCCTTTATTCTTTCATTCTTCTTCTTTTCTTTTTTTTTTAGATGGAGTCTCTCTCTGTCACCTAGGCTGGAGTACAGTGGCATGACCTCAGCTCACTGCAACCTGCACCTCCCCAGTTCAAGTGATTCTCCTGCCTCAGCCTCCTGAGTAGCTGGGATTACAGGTGCCCACCACCATGCCCAGCTAATTTTTGTATTTTTAGTAGAGACAGGGTTTTGCCACGTTGGCCATGCTGGTCTCGAACTCCTGGCCTCAAGCAATCCACCCTCCTTGGCATTCCAAAGTGTTGGGATTACAGGTGTGAGCCACCACGCCCTATCTTTTTTCTTTCTTGACTTCTTTTGGATTGATTTATATCTCTCTTTCATACTTTAATTTTCTTCAACTATTGTGGAAGTTACATACACACACACACACACACACACACACACACACACACGCACAAGTTAAATTCTGAACTTGGTCAGTATCTTTAACTTCTTCTAAACAGTATGAAAATTTTATGACACATTAACTCTGATCATCTCAATTCTAAATAATTTGCTAATGTTGTCCTGAATTTTGGCTCTTTCTTGTTTATTTAGGTGTATGAATTTACTAAACATATTATAATAGTTTAATGCAATAGATATTTTTACATTTACTCACATTTTTAACATTTTCTTTGTTTACTATTCCATTTGTAGTCTTCAACTTTCCTTCTGAAATTATTGTACCTCTTCCTTTTTTCTTAAAGCAGTGATTTGACTTCAGTCTTTCTTCTTTCTCCTCTGGTGATTCTAATTAGACATATTAATACCTTCTCAGTTTATTGTTCATGTCTCTTTACTTGTGTCTTTCTATTTTTTGGTGGGGGGGTACATTCTGGATAATTTTTTTCAGATGAATCCTCCAGGTCATAAATTTTATCTCCAATAAAATTGGTAATTAAATGTAGCCATTTTTAAAACACATATACACTTTTACTTTAGCTCTGGAATTTATATTTGTTTATTTTTTCTATTTTACATCTGTCAGATCAATTTTAGCATCTTATTTCTTCATTATACTTTTGATTCCATTTTATATTTCTAGAAACATTATAGATATTTGCTTCATATTCTCTTCCTTATAATTGAAATACCTGCAGCCTTTTCCCTTGTAATCCTATATGATTTACACCACCTCTGCTAGGGACATTTCTCCTTTTCTGTTGAGTGAGTTTTAATTGTGAGCTCATGCTCTTTAGTTCTTTATCTGTGGGAATTCTTTGAAGCCTTGGTTTAAAATACATTTCTGCTGAGAGGATTTGCCCTTGGTGTCTTTGGAGCAGTAGCAATCTAGGCCTATTAAGAACTAAAGCCTAGAGGGTATTTTTGGTTTTGGATTTTTTTTCTTTTTTGCTACATAGGTAAGTTTAATTTTGATCACAGACCTACAGGAGTATACACACAAGTTTAAAAATTATGAAAGAATTTGGTTTTTATTTCTTTCTTGTTTAATTAAAACATAGCCTCACTGTGTGCTTTTGTAGGGTAGGTTTTATCCCCTTGTTTCAGGAGCAACATTCGAATGTTGCTCCTCAAAGCGGCCTGGCTTTTGTGGGTATCCTTGATTCAGTCAATCCTGCTAAAGGCCAAGGTTTTTCTTTGGTCTTATTTGATACTCATTAAGACCCAGGTTCTAAGCACCCAGATATCAGCATACAGCCTCAAAGTACCTGGCTCCTGTACTAGTTTCACCTGCGGATTAGTGCTTGTAACTTCCTTGTCATTTCTGGCTTCTGAGGAATTTCCTTTCCACCTACCTTAGCTATGGGTCAAACATATATATTTTTAATTTAGCTAGCATTTAAACTGTGCTTAAGTGATTTTCCTGTGTATCTAATCTATCATGTTGTCATAAATAGAATCCCTATCCTGAAAATTATTCAGTCTTAACACTTATCACAATTGCCACAAATATCTGGTTTACTTATCTGACTCTCCCCAAGAGCTTCTTAGAAGCAAGAACTGTGATTTCTTCATCTTTTAATTCCAGTGCCTGATACAAAGTAGGGACTCAATCAAAGTTGCATGAACAAAATAGCACATTTTGAAAACCAATAATCCAGCAACTGGAGATTTCCTCTGTACCAAACAGAACCAATTTATTAAAGTTGGTTACCCTCACATTCCAGGTTGATTACTATAAATTGGATATTTGAATAAATGAAGGTCTTCTTTCAAAAATTCTGAATTTGCTGGAGGATTTATAGGATTGGAAAACCGTGCTGAGAGTTAATTGGCTTGGATATTGCATACCCTGAGGGACTACAGAGAATGTGTGGGAAGGGGTGAGTCCAACAGGCAGCAAGGTGAAGAGGCAGGATCCGATAAGCAGGTGCTTTTAATCTTCTGGGGTAGCACTAAAGGGGTCCAGGAGCCTCCCGTGAGACCGCATGCACATCTGAGCCTGGAGTGAAGGGGGAGCCCTGGCTGGATCCTGCCTACCCTGCTGGTGTTATCTCAAGGTGAGGGATGTAACTGCTTCTGGTCCTAGCCTTTTCTTCTCCACAGTCCCATCAGAGGACTCTAGGCTAGCCTACTGATCTGCAGACTGTAGAGCAGGCCTGGCTGAGACTCTCCTGGCTGCATTAATTCACGAACTATTGGACATAAAGTGACCCCAGTGAAGCTGTGAGCCCGTTCATTTGATCTCACATTGTAATAATCAGAAAGAGCTCTCTATGCTCCCACAGCTACCTCTTGCCCACAACCAAAGAATTCTAAGTAGCTCTGAACTTCAAAAGGAAAACGAACATTTGCATGATCCCTTCTCTTATTCCAGTGGAATGGTGTTGCAGCATGGCAAGGTGATGTTAGCACTGGAACTCAGGAATTGAGGCCACACTCACTCTCGGCTTTGTCACTGCTGGGTACCTTGCTTAGTAACCTTGGGCCAGTTGCTCCCCATTGGAGACCTCAGTTTCCTCATCTATTCAGTGAGGTAGGGCACAGAATGTTCTCTAAGGTGTTTGCTAGTTTAACAAGTCTAGGATTCTGTGACTGACAATGTTTTACTTCCCGATTGTACTATAGGCTGTGATTTATCTTCTTTGGAAACTGACAAAATAATTTCCAGTAAGGCGTTCCATCGTCCTCTAAAAATAATGTACATGCATCTTTTGAATCTGTTACTAAGTAGTTTGCCTATAGACATTAGGTGAGTATTATTTCAGGAGCCATACATTTAAAAATCACACCAAAATAAAAATATATCACCCATTACTCATTTTTCCTGTGGATGTAGAGGCTCACCTACTTTTTTCAGTCTGCTAGAATTGTCTCGAGAATCATGCATTTTCAAATGATTATTTTTGAAGACTTGGCCAGAACTAATTCTTCCATATAATTACAATGTAGAACCATTCAATTGACTCTGATATCTTGGAACAGACTAGGTCTGGATGGCTGCTTTATGTAGACTTCCTTCGATATTTCAAATTGTCCTCAGCTCCCTTCCCTCAGCTCTTACAAATAGAGCTTTAGGGTTATAGTCATTGATTTCCTAGGACTTCATGCCCTGTTCCCTTGTGGAGACACTGACAGCAGCCTTCCCTTCTTTCTCTACCCAAGATGATCCACTTCCTTCAACACACCTCTAGTGAGCACACGCCCAGGTGCTGAGCTGGGCACTGGGAGAAAGGGAGCTACCAGAGAAGGGTCCCAAAGACCTCATGAGCTGGTTTAGTGGGGGAGACAAGACAGGGCTACTTTATGAATTCCAAGGGCTTAGGCACTCTTGCCTTCATGGGCTCCTTCTGCTGTTAAAATAAAAAATTTAAAAATTGAAAATCATCATATATTTTATGACTACATTGGCATAAAGATGAACACAATCTGGGCATGAGTCATTATTACATGTTCGTTAATGTTACTATGTTCAGTTTGTCTTTTGATCTTAAAGGAGATTAAAACATTTTTATTAGTTTCTAAAAGTATCATGGGTCCCAGGCACTGTACCTAATGGAAAAGTCAGCCCTGGGCAGGTGGAGAGGGGTTATACCTATGGAAACCGGCAAGTGAGCCTTCAAAGGAGCTCTGTGGGAGCACAGTGCTCTCTGGGACCCCAGAGCAGGGATTCTCAACTCAATGAGGCATGCAGTGAGAAGTGCTACCCTGCCCAGGGAAGAGACTTCATGGTGAAGCTTAAGCCAAGTGTTGAAGCTGAGTAGGTATGGAACAGGCAAAGAGAGGTAGGCCCCTGTGGAAGAGAAAACAACTTGAGAAATGAAGAAGCAAGAAATGAAAGCCTGTGTGCAGAAAACCAGAAGCTGCTGGATGTGGGTGCAAAAAGTACCGAGCAGGAATGGTCCGAGATAGAGCTGGAGAGGTGGATGGGTCCAGACAGTGACGAGTCTCATGAGTCACTTGACTGGCATGGACTTTGTCCTGGATGGACAGTAGGGATCTATGGACTTTAAAATGAGAAGAGGATGATCAGATTTCAGATTAGGAAGACTGGAAAATACATGTATTCATCAAATCAGGCAAGGAGTAAGAGTGAGTGAGTGTGTGTGTGTGTGCTTGTGTGCACACAAGTATATTCTGGGCATGTTTTGCTCCATCAGGGCCTCTTTGGAAGCCAGTGAACTTTCTTCCATGGATGTGCCATGGGACTGCAAGGCACAGCCTCTGACAAAGTCAGCTTTAGGAGCAGAGGCTGCACAGTACGGTCTCTCAAAACTCCTGTGAAAATAAACACTTGAAAAACTTTTGTCCTGTGATATCATATGTGGCAATGTTTGGTACTGTTCTCAAGAAAGCAGAGAGAGAACAATCTCTTAGAGAAGTCCCATTTTCCCCATCCTACTAAATATCACAGTTCCCCAAAGTGACTTTGCTGTCTTCTGTCCCCCCAGTGCCTTCCTGCATGCTGTTCCCTTTGCCCGGAATACATTTCCTTTCTTGTCTTGTGTGTTGAACACCTGCGTGTGTTGTAAGATGCAACCCAAGTGGCTCCAATGAATGTTTGCTTGATTATTCTCTCTGGCCATTACTCACTCCCTCCTTGGATCACAGCTGTGGCAAGGCATGGTTCTCTCTATTAGAGCCCCTTCACTGGGGCCCCCACTGTGAGAACGACTGAGACCCTATGGAAGAGCAGGTCCTTGAGGGCACAGACTCTGTTTAAGTGTATCCTCAGGATCCAGGCCACTACCAGCACGTGGGATCCAGGATAACCTTGAATCAATAAATGAGTTACTCCTGAGCTCATTTCACTTCAACAGGATGGACTCATCACTCCTGGTTTTAAGCAAAGCGCCTCACATCTAAAAAACACCAATGAAGCGGGGTTTTTGAACTTTAAACTGTATTTCAATGTTTTTCACAAAACTGTGTATGCTTTAATATCTCATTTTCCCAGCATTATCTCACTTCTTCAGAGGTTGTATAAATCTCATATTACAGGGGCCAAAGTCGTCAGCACAGTGTGGGTTTTTTTTTTCTTTGCGTGTGAAAGAGTTTCAGGCACACAATTCATGTCAATACATTCTACTCCAGAGTCTTTTCTAATAGAATAAAATGAGACCATGCATGTGTTTAATTAGAGTTCAGTTTTCCGGCTTGATTTGTCTGCCTTACACAGAGGAGGGCATTTAGGAATGAGCTGAATGCTTGTGATTCACATGGTGAATCTGGGTGATGTATGTCCAGGGCCCTCAGAGGAAGTAGAGATGATGGAATACACTCTAGGCCTCTCAAGATCAAGGCCCTTCTGTTTGCTAAGGATGGAAGAAGAGTGAAAAGCCTTGAAAATTCTTAATTATGTGCCTGAGTCTGCACACAGGCAGGTGCCCAGAGGCTCAGTGCTCTTCTCTGGTTAGCTATGTCCTCTGGCCCCTGAGCAGAAATATACAGGCTGGGATCAATGGAACAGGCTAGAAGAGGCCACTCAGAATAACTGCTACTATTTACTGAGTAAGCCAGGCACCGTGCGGGGACTCTACGGACGCAATCTTATTCAATACTCACAGTTCATCCATTCAAGAAATACTCACTAAACAGCTTCCAGTCACCATTGTGGGCAATGAGATCCAGAGATTGTTAAAATACTTAAAACACAAAGCCCTAGTTTCCCACAGAGTCTACTTTATGTTTTGGAAGGTACACAGACAATAATGAAGCACGTAAACAACAAACAGATAACTGTTGAGTGTTGATAAATACGACAAAGAAAGTAAACAGGGCAAGAAGATAGAGTGAGATAATGGAGTGTATGCTATTTTATATAAAATGATAAAGAGAGGCCTCACTGATCCGATGACATTTTGGCCAAGACGCTACTGAGATAAGACAGTGAGCTACACAGATAAATGGAGGAACCTTGTGTTCAGCAGGGGTGACAGCAACTGCCAAGGTCTTGAGGCAGGACTGCAAGGAGTATGTTTGAAAATAGTAATCATCCTGCAAAGTAATTGCTATTATCCTCATTTTACAGATAAAAAATCGGAGGCACTGTACAGCAAAGCAACTCATCTAAGGTCACAGGACTGGTGAATGTACAGCTGTAATTTCAGCCTGAGTCTCTCTGACTCCAAAGCCTTTGTTCTTTCCTTCACATTGCCATGTTCAAAGGCAGTGCTGGTGGTATGAAAAGAGAGAGTGGAATGCCCCCTGAATTTATCATCCCACCTCACTCTTCCAGGGAAGTTTCCTGGATCCTTCCTCCATCTATACATCAAGCAGTTTATCTTGACTGAGCAACCACTATGTGCCCACTTGTGTTGGGCACCAAGGGAAAGCCAGTGTTCATGACCACCTGATGATCTCACACAGGAGAGAGCTCACAGAGGGGTCAAAGTCCACCTGGAGTAGGTCAGAGAATGAGAGCTGGACTGGGAATGCTTGTTGGGGGAGATAGAATATGAGCTGGGTATGAAAGAATGAGGAGTAGATAAGCTTCTGGCTTGGTGACTACTCGGCTTCCCCATCACCCCCACCTGTAGTAGGTAGTATTATTTGTTGACCCATATTTCTTTCTCTACTTCTATTGCCAAGTCCTCCCTGTGGGTAGAATGTTGTCTGTTTCATTGACTTTGGCTTTGGCCATATGATGTGCATGGGTTAATGCAATGTGGGTGAGAGTGACAGTTACTGCTTTGATCTGAAACTTGGAGAGTCATGGCAAAGCTCTGCTGGTCTTTTACTCTTCACTTTACCACAAGAATAAAGCATCCCAGGTAGTTGCTGGTCCAGAATGAGTAGATATACGGGGTGGAACTAAATCCAGCCCATTTTCTAAAGTCAAGCTCAGCCAACCCAGCAGGTGCCAATAGTATCACTGTTGGCCTGTCCACCTGTAAATGTGACATAAACATTTGTTTTAATAAGCCAGTGAGATTTTTGTGATTGTGTATTACCTGGCACTCTTACAGCAGTATTTAAATAATAAATAATACACCTTTGCTTTCAGTCATAGGTAAACTCAGGTAAGCACCTTAACTGTTCTGGCGGATGGGGCACATTATGAAAACAAGCCAGAAAATGTATTAGTCACTCAGGTTCATGAACTCTGCAGCTCAAGATTCTGTCTCTGACTTTATAGATATCCCAATAATTGTGTTTTTGTTCCCACCCTCCTCACCCTTATCATCTAGCCTACAGATTGTCCATAGCACAGAGTATGAAAAATTCTTTAAAAGTTGGTTCCTGTATTAGTCCACTTTGCATCACTGTAAAGGAATACCTGAGATGGGGCAATTTACAAAGCAAAGGGGTTTGTTTGTCTCATGGTTCTGTAGGCTGTACAAGAAGCATAGCAGCAGCATCTGCTTGTGGTGAGGCCTCAGGATACCTTTACTCATGGCAGAAGGCAAGGGAAGCTGGTACGTCACACAGTGGGAAAGGAATCAAGAGAAGAGGGGAGGGAGGTGCCAGACTCTTTAACAACCGGATCTTGCACAAACTAATGAAGTGAAGACTTACTCATTACTTGGGGAGGACACTAAGTCATTCACGAGGGATCCACTCCCCTGACCCAAACATCTCCCACCAGATCCCACCTCCAACACTGGGGTCACATTTCAACGTGAGATTCAGAGGGAACAAATATTCAAACTCTATCAGCTCCTGTGTCCCAATAATTTCTAGTTATTTACAGTAGAGAATATTAACTTTGCTCCATGAAATCTTGGAGCACTAGAGGGACTACTGAAGGGCCAGCCATGGTAAGAGAAGGACAACAAGACCAGGGATTCCAGACTCCCATCTGGGCTGCAACTCAAAAATTTCTACTTTTATTTGTTGTATACAATCAGATTCCTTATAAAACTTTGTCTGAAGCTGAAATCCACTACTGAAGAATGTTTGGAATCACTAGTGTACATGGAAAGCCCCACTTCCACACCCTGATATCTCAGGGCTTCCATAACCTTTCCCCACTTTTTAGTCTAATGGTCCCGTTTCTCCCTTGGCTCTAGTCCCCTTTCCCAATAGTCTGTGCACTCCAGTTACTGTTCCCATGCATGCTCAGATTTCTTTTGCCTCCCTTCTCTCTGTTTGCAAAGCCCTTCCCACTTCTATCTGCCAAAGCCACCATTTGTCTCCCAGGACCTAGCATCAGAGACAGAGAAAGTTCCCCAGAGAATGTTTAGTCCAACCCCTCTACTTTGTAATGTTGTAATGTTGATTTGTAAATTCCAACATCTATTGAGTATTTATTAAAGACAGGCACTGATAAGCATTTTACGTAAATCAGTTCAGTGAATCCTTCAATACTTTGAACTGTGTACTATTATTCTTTCCATTTTATGCAGGAAGAAACTGAAGCCCAGAGAGGTTAAGTAACTTGCTCAAGGTCACACAGCAGTTTAGTACATAGTCAGTGTCTGAATTTACACAGGCTCCAGAGTCTGCATTTTAACCCTTTCAAAATATTGCCTTCCTCATTTTATAGATGAAGAAACTGTGCCATTCAGTTGAAAGAGATTTGCTTAAGGTTACACAGCTGGTTTATGACCAATCAGGTCAGTGCCCAGGCCTCTCGGTGCCAGTCTGGGCTTCATTCAACCTTGGTTGTGCCCACGCTGGAGGTGCCCAGCTGGTGACACAGCCAGGAGGAATCCTTGCAGTGGTGCCTCCTGCCAACTGGCCATACCTGTGTGCAGTCCACGCTGGGCATGTTCTCATTTGCTTGCAGAGCTGGAAGGGACCTTGGAGCATGTCCAGGTCATTGACTTTTACCTGACTACCCATTAAACTTACCTGGGAAAGTTTTAAAAATACTGCTAAGCTGCACTCTCAGGGTGTCTGATTTAATGGTACAGGGGGTGTGCCAGGACATTGGTATTTTGGACACACTCCCAGGTGGTTCTGAAGTGCAGCCAAGGTTGAGATACTCTGTTGTAATCCAACATACTGCTGTGCCACCCCATTTCATAGAACAAGAAATGACCTGTGTCAGTCCCCAAGTAGTCAGAAGCAAAGCCTAGCCTAGAGGAGACTCCCTGATGATATTAAACCCCATACTCGATTCTACTAAACAGGAGTTCCCCGCTGATCATATCAGGCATCTACACCTTCCTGTGGCACATGAGCCCAGAGCAAAGCAAATAAAATCCCATCTGGTTGGAGAAAAATAAAATGAAGACTACTGGGCACCGTCACCATAAGCATGGGTTGCTATCACAAAGTATTATAGACCAGGGAGCTTATAAACAGCAAATTTATTTCTCACAGTTCTGGAGGCTGGAAGTCTGAGATCCAGGTGCCAGCATGGTTGGGTTCTGGTGAGGACCCTCTTCTGGTTGCAGAGAGCTGACTTCTCACCACATTCTCACATGGTGAAAAGAGAGTGACTTTGCTGTCTGGCCTATTCTTATAAAGGCACTAACCCCACTCACGAGAGCACCACTCTCATCACCTAATCACCTCCCAAAGGCCCCCCCTGCTAACAAGATCACATCAATCCCGATGCCACGCTGTTAGGAGGTGGGGCCTTTGGGAGGCGATTGGGATTAACTAAATGTTTGTGGGGAACACAAACATTCAGTCTGTTGCAGCCACAGGACCTGGGATGTCATTGAGGCGATTTGTGATGGCACAACCCAATGGTTGGGGATCAGGAAATGTAAGCTTCGAAGGCTTATTCCATTGTCCTTTGTATGAAATTCAGTAACTCCTGTATTAATTTCAGTAACCCTGGACTGTCATGGGTCTGCCCCCTTTCGTGGGGTATGGGCTGAGATCTGGCCACCACCTTCCTACCTTCCACACCGTTAACCCCAGTACTTCATATGGAACACACCCTAAATTTGATTTTTTTAAAAAAATAGTCATAACCAAACACCTCATATTTTATCTTTTTTTCTGAAAAAGAATTTTAAAATCTGACATGCCACTTAAAAAAAAAAAGAAATCGCATGAGTATAGGCATGCCAGTTTAACTGGGGGTTAAAAAATCCTCACTTTCACAGCCTCTTGCTATGTAGTTGTCCCTGGTTACTGTTCTGCCTCTGTCTCCACAGAGACCACTCTGGGCCAGTAACCATGGCGATAGGAGAAGACGTGAGCAGATGGGAGCACTATGTGCAGAACTTAAACATCCTTGTGTTGGGGGGAGGTAAGTGGGGAATGAGGGAAGGAGAGGAAAGAAACCTAAGAGAGACAGAAAGAAGTTACAAAATCCTTAACCTAGGAATAGATTGCAATGTTGGGGACAAACCACAAGGCATGTTTTTTTATTTTTCTTTTTTGCTGCTGAGCCAAGCTCTTCTTTTTGATTTCAATAATGATTTATCCCTAGGGAAATGGAGACAAAAGCTTTCAACATACAGAGCTGGAGGCATTTTTTAACCATAAATGTATTGCATTAATATATGTTTAACGCATTATTCAACTTGGGAAAGCAAGAGTCTGAAACCCTGTCAATTTAGGTACAATGTAATTGTGGCATATTGGGAAGACCATAGCCTGTGCAGGAGGAATGACATTGGGACACAGACCCTGCCTCAACCAGTCTCCTCCTGGGAGCCACAGGCCAGGCCCTGCTTCCAGAGACTTGGCTTATAAGATTCTCTGAAAGGGAGCCAACAGATAGTTGGCTTTGAAATTATGCAAAAAGAAAATCTTAAAGGATGCTAAACTGAGATTTTCTGTATTAGTTTTTGCTGAGGTTCCGAAGAATGACACCAAAAAACTAGGTGGCAAGCAACCATGCATGGCATATGAAGAAATTGCAAATTCAGTTTTTCAGTTCTTAGCCTAAAAGTAATAGGGAAGTGGCCAGGGGCAATTTCTTTGCAGAGATATTTGGCTGAATATCACTCCCAGCTCATGGGAGAGAGAAAGGGGCCATTTTCCCACCACTTACCTAAAACCAAGGAAGGAATTATCAAGAAACCCACTAGGAGCTTGATCCATGACCCTCTGGAATTTGAGGGAACCATACGAACTTGCACCTGACTCAGAATAGAGATCATGGCTGATACTGCAGCCTGTAGGGTGGGTGGATGGGGCAGGGGCTGAGGGAGAGGCTGGGAGGAGAAAGAACATAGAGAGGAGGGGAAAAGCTGTAAATTCCACAAAGAGTCCATGAGCTTTTGTTTTAGACTTAAATAAGCTTTTATTTGGTTTATTTATTGAAGAACACTGGAAAAGTTGAAGCTAGCCTGAGACTTTATGCAGGGTGGTGATAGGAGGAGAAATGCACAGATGCTGAAAGCTGCGTCTCCTAGTCTTAAAGAGAAATGATGAGAAAGGATGAAGTGGCTTTCTGTTTGTACCGTACAGGTGCCAGCCCATTCAATAAACTGGTTACAGGGTGTTAGGGAATGAATTGTGTCCTGTCAAAATTTAGATATTAAAGTTCTAACCCCCAGTGCCTCAGAGTATGACTGTGTTTGGAGATACAGTATTTAAATAGACAATTAAGGTAAAATGAGGCCATGTGGGTGAGTCTTAATTCAGTATGATTTGTATCCTTATAAGAAAAGAGAATTAGGGGCTGGGCACGGTGGCTCACACCTGTAATCCCAGCACTTTAGGAGGCTGAGGCAGGCAGATCACAAGGTCAGGAGATCAAGACCATCCTAGCCAACATGATGAACCCACATCTCTACTAAAAATGAAAAAAAAAATAATAACTGGGTGTGGTGACACATGCCTGTAGTCCCAGCTACTCAAGAGACTGAGGCAGGAGAATCGCTTGAACCCAGGAGGCAGAGATTGCAGTGAGCCAAGATTGCGCCACTGCATTCCAGCCTGGAGACAGAGTGAGACTCTGTCTCAATAAAACAAAACAAACAAACAAACAAAACAAGGGGGTTAGGACACTGACACACACAGAGGGAAGACTATGTAGCTTTGGTCCTCAGTGCCTCAATGGACTTCACAAAACCTGCTCAGAGACAAGACTGGACTGGAAGATACTGTGAAGTCCAGGAGGACCAAAACTGTGAAGATACCAAAAGATGACCATCTATAAGCCAAGAAGAAAGACCTCAGGAGAAATCAATCCTGCTGACACCTTGGTCTTGGACTTGTAGCCTTCAGAATTGTAATAAAATTTCTGTTAAGTCACCCAGTCTGCAGTACTTTGTCATGGCAGCCCTAGCAAACTAATATATGGCTATGACTATTTTGGGACTCTAGCTGCCTGTATCTTTGGCCTGAAGAGAGGTGGAGTCTCTCCAAGGATCTCTGCAAAATAACATTTCTAGGGTCTTTTAAGAGACTTGAGGTTTTGCTGCTTCTCTATATCCTCCACAACTCACTCCTTGTCATCCATTCTTGAGTGAAAGCCATTTACAGTCATCACTCATTTATCTGCATTGAGGCTATTGGATCCTGGTTGCTCTGGTACTTTGGGTTCAGATACATAGAAATTTATGCCATTTCCCCTGGATCTCAGGACTGGAAGTCAATGCCCAGGCAGGTCATGGTGGCAGGTGAAGTAGGGGGCTGCCTGTGGTGTGGTAGTTTAGGACAGATGGACAAGCCTACAGCCACCAAGTCACCAACTCAAACCAAACTGAACCTAAAACAAAGTCCTTACCCACTTGCTCGCTGATTCTGATAATGCTTTCCCTGGAGTTTCTTCACTCCTTTCCACAATGTCCAGAGCTAGAAGGAGCCACAGAGCCTACTCCATCCATCACAATGACACCTGATACACAATCTCCATTCATTCATCTACTCACTTACCTAACAAATGCAAATAAACCAATAAAACAGGGATGAGATATGCAAACAAACAGAATTTGTATTTTTCCATGAGTTCTTCCAAACAATTTCTTTCTAGGCCCAAAGAGTGCTTCTAAGGGGAAAGAAGTTTCCAGAAAAAATAATCTGCATTTCCAAGTGGCTGACGAGGAGGCTTGGTCTGGTTGATTTCAAGGGTGTCTCACAAGCTTGTTCTGCTCAGAGACCAGGCTGAACTGGAGCCAGTACTGTGAAGTCCAGTGAGGACCAAAGCCACAGCCACACATGCAGCAGAAGAGCAAAATTCTGTCCTCTACTGGTGCCTCCAGCCATGATGCCAGGATGCAAAGGCATCCAGCTTTCCAGGATCCCTTCAGGGTTGCAGTCATGAGCAGGCACATTGCCTAAGCACCTGGTATTGCTAGGACCTATGCCAGGAAGATTTTCTTGTTGCCCTTAATTCAATGCAAGAGCCCTGGAAGGTTGGTAGCAGTATCCCTCACCATATAAATGAGGAACATGGTATCCAGAGAGGGTAAAGAATTTATTCAAAGCCACCTCATTAGTTTTAAATAGCACAAGCCAAGCCAATGTACCCTACTGTTTTGAGGCCAAGAACAGTGCCCGTTCTTTAACCCAACACTGAGGGATCCTGGAGCTGTGGATGATTTAGGAATCGCTCGCTCACAAATTTTAGTGACAGGTTCATATGCTGAGAAAAGAAAAAGTATAACAAACCTCTAAACACCTGTGCCTCTTCACATGCCTGGCTGGGCTCCACGGGCATGACTCTCACTGGGTTGGCACATCTAATGGCACTTTTGTCATTTGGTGCACTGTGGGCTCCTCAGGATGACTTCTTGCCACCTCTGGTTGCCTGACTAGAACACAAATCTTCAGCTGTCTAAATTGACCCCAAGAAGATAGACCTTGCTCAAGCTCAGCCAGAGAGAGGGGTTGGAAAGTTGGCAGGTGGAGTTGGAGCCACAGTTTTCTTTCTGTGGCCTGAGACATCTGTGACTCCCTCCAGAGGACCTGCCTCCAGGCATTAGGTGGGTGTTGGCTGGTGGGGATGTTGGGGGTGTGGAGTGTTAGGCTCGGCAGTCGTTCCTAGGAATGAAATATCATGGGCAGCAGTCCTGGAACCAATCCATTGATTCATTTTCCTGCTCGCCAGGATGACAGCCCCCTCTGAGCATGGTCCCTCAAGAGCAGACCGACGTCTTCACAGCACAGAGGTGCAGTCCTCTTCTGCTACCAGGCCTGGCTGGGGAAAATTCAGCTAGACGCCTGGCACCATGCAAACCACAGGCTCTTCTTATGCAAGCTCAGAGCCTCTGAGTCACCTGTCCTCTCTCAAATGTCTCTGCTATTTCGTGGTTCTCTTACCAGAATAAGACACCTTCTCAACACCTCACTGCTTCCTCTCCTACTGAACCATGACTCTCTCCCCTCTGTATTTGCTGACCTGTGGGAAACAATTTCCCAGACCCATTGGATTCTTTATGGAATATTCTATCTCCTGAAGTGGTCAAGCCTGATTATCCCTGAAGACACAACTTCCAGCTGCTTCTTTTGTGGCATCTGCTGACTCTCCCTGAACCCACCTGTGTCAGATTAGGGGTGGGTTGCATCTGTGGTAGATGCTGGTGGTGTCTTCCTTAGATCCGTTTTCCACACTGGGTGACAATCCCAAAGTGCTGTAAGTGTGGGCCAGCAACTACTCACAGCTGGCCCTTTTTCTCCAGAACTTCCCTTGACCACACAGGGCCAGCTTGTGGCAGTGACTGACAGAGGGCTGACGTGGGGCTGCAAAAGGCTTGTCCCTGCCTCAGAGCCAACTGTGCCCATTTCATAGCACAATTTGGGCTCCGGAACTGAAGTTTGGGTCCAGGCAAAGCCCCATCCTGCTTGATTCACTACCCTGAGAGCACTCCCTCAATAATCACTTTCCTAGGAGTCCTGGTCTCAGGCTGTGCTTCTAGGGAAACCAACTAAGACAGCATCCTCCTTGCCCCTCAGGGTCACAGTTAGTCTCACTTGGATATTGCCATCAATTGGAGCTTCTGTCCTTCAAGTTCTCAATTCGAACACACAACTCTTAGCCCATAGCCTTCTGCATTTCACACATCTCATTTCTTCCTTCACCCCTCATCGTTGGGTGCAGCAAAACTGTGCCTTGACCCTGCTACCCTTATGAAACCCATTCTGCCATCCTTCCCTCCCTCCTGCCCTGCCCCTCCCCTCCCTCCCTCCCTTTCTTCCTTCCTTCCTTCCTTCTTTTTTTCTTTCCTTCCCTTTTCCCTCCCTCCCTCCCTCCGTCCCGTCTTCCCTCCCCACCTCCCTCCCTCCTTCTTTCCTTCTTTCTTCCTTTTTCAACCTGGGCTTTAGGGTCCATCCATTCAAGCATCTCTGTCATGTCCTTAAGTTTTTCTCTTGCTAATTTTTTTGTTGCATTTTCCTCAGCCTGAACTCTGCATTGATGCAACTGTCTCTGAGATTCACTAGGACCTCTGGAGAAATTCATACCACTATGCGGATTGCTGCCTGAGAACATTCATGGTCTCAACTTGAAGCTGTCGAGCAATCTTTCTGTTTCTGGAGTCAACTTTCTTACCCATAGTAGCTATTTAAAACCTTCCTGACAATTCTCAAAGTTCCCACCCACCACTTCCCACTCCTTCCCTGCAGATAACCTTATCTTCTACTTACAGAGAAAATAAGTAGCAGCAGATATCATCTTTCTCTACTTCCTGCCTTCATACCTATGAGCTTCTGATATCCATTCCGATCCTTTGAAAATTCCCTCCCTACAGCCAAAAAAAAAAAAAAAACAAACAAACAAAAACAAAAACAAAAACAATAAAAACCTTTTTCTCCCTGTGCTGTCAGTCTAAAACCTCTGCCTAAGATTCCATTCCATCTCTCTTGCACTTTCTCGAAGCCTCGCCCATTGATCCTGCTCCCTTTGGCTTGCCTTTGAATCTTTCCTTTTCCTGGAGCATCCCCTTTAGCTCAAGTCAATTCCATTCTTTATCTACTCTGAGTACAGCCCCATCTCTCTTTCTCCTATGTCTATGCCATCTGGGTTTCACCCACAACTAACCTGAAACTGCGTTCACTAGGCCCCAAACATCTCAATGAAGCTAAACCCTGCAGCCACTGCTCAGGACCTGCTGGCTGCACTGTGGCTTTCATCACTGCATGCAATCCCTTCGTCCTTGACCCCTCTCTTCTTTTGCGTTACTCCCCAGATTAGTCTCAAGACACTTTGGCCCTTTCTTTTGAGGCTTTTTTTTTAGGAACTCATTTTTTGTACCTAAATTTTGTGTCCCTGATCTTCTTCACTTTGTCCCAAGATGTGTTTGGGGGCATGTCCTCCACCCCATGAGGCACTTCCTCCACCCCCTTATGGAAGATTTTAGATTTCCCAGCATTGATGGCTCACACACGGCTTTAGATTACTACATTAATCACCTACTGGATATTTCTACTCAGAAATCTCACAAACACATCAATCACAGCATACTAAAAATGGAACTCATTGTGGTTTACCTAGGACATCTTTCTCCTTCTGTGTTCTCAACCTTGGTGGGTGTAGTGAATTGAATGGTGTATTAGTCAGGGTTCTCTAGAGGGACAGAACTAATACATTCATATATATAAAGGAGAGTTTATTAAGTATTAAGTCACACGATCACAAGGTCCCATAATAGGCTATCTGCAGGCTAAAGAGCAAGAAGAGTCAGTCCAAATTCCAAAACTGAAGAACTTGGAGTCCGATGTTCAAGGGCAGGAAGCATCCAGCACTGGAGAAATATGTAGGCTGGGAGGCTAGGCCAGTCTCTCTCTTCGCATTTTTCTGCCAGCTTATATTCCAGCCATGCTGGCAACTGATTAGATTGTGCCCAACCAGATGAAGGTTGGGTCTGCCTTTCCCAGCCCACTGACTCAAATGTTAATCTCCTTTGGTAACACCCTCACAGACACACCCAAGATCAATACTTTGTATCCTTCAATCCAAGTAAGTTGACAGTATTAACCATCAGAAGTCCACCCCTTGTCAACTTGAACTCATACACATCTCTTGAGATCATACATAATCTTCAAGTAAAGACAGTAATGGGGTCATAATTATGCCTAACATAAGACAACTATCCTTTGTACAACTGGAAATGCACCAATTCCCAACCCAAATACCACTACATAAAGTTAACAATACTTCAATGCTGTTGTGAAGTCAATAAATCTTATATCACATAATAAAGGAGAAAGAAAATAAAATGAAGATATTTTCTTAGTACAAGTGTATACATTCACAAACATGTTTTTAACAAAAAAGGAGGAAATACTCATGACTTTCTGCAGCTAGTCACGTGGTCATAGCTGGTACTGATGACCATCTTCTTCTACTACCCATTCTGTATTCCCTTTGCACTCAGCAAGCACCACTGCAAGTCATGGTTTTTTTCCTGGTGGACTGACCCAAACCTTCATTCCTGAAGGGTCTGGGTCATTTGTAGTCCTGCCTGGATTGGGCTGTTGTAGTTTCCCACTGACCTTAATCAAAGGGCATGGTAATACTAAGAGATGCCCTAATAGATCTCCTGTATTCCACACATACTCTTCCTTACCTCCTTTGTGGTGTAGTAGACTGATTTCATCTTGATAGTTCAGGTTAATCACCCCAGCCAACACTGTAACTCCCTTCTTAGCCTGTTGACTTAAAGATTGGAGGAGCCCAAAGTGTCCAGGTGGCAATCTTAACTTCCAGTTTAATGGAATTGTTGTTGTGTCTCCTGGTGGCAGTGTTCCTCCCTCTGGAACTAATACCTCTAGGCCAGCAGAATGCAATGTCACAGGAACAGGAAGGAAAAATTTTGCTAGTGGATTGCTAGGGGTGAGGGTGAGGGGTGCTACTTCCACTTCCACTTCTTGATTCCTGGAAATCCTGGCTATGGGAGAAACAGTACCATATATTGGATGCTCATTCAGAGCGTACATAGCCTTCTGGAGAACTTTGCCTCAGCCCTGCAAAGTATTGTCACCTAGTTGGCATTGAAATTGTGACTTCAAAAGGCCATTCCACCGTTCTATCAATCCAGCTGCTTCAGGATGATGGGGAACATGGTAAGACCAGTGAATTCCACGAGTAAAAACCCACTTCCACACTTCTTTAGCTGTAAAGTGAGCTCCTTGGTCACAGGCAATGGTGTATGTAATACCATGACGGTGGATAAGGCATCCCTGAGTCCATGGATGGTAGTCTTGGCAGAAGCATTGCATGCAGGATAGGTAAGCCCATATCTGGAGTAAGTGTCTATTCCAGTGAGGACAAACCTCTGCCCTTTCCATGATGGAAGAGGTCCAATATAACCAACCTGCCACCAGGTGCCATATCCAGGACTCAATATTGGTGTCTGCTGCTGGCAACTTGGACACTCAGCAGTGGCCGTAGCCAGGTCAGCCTTAATGAGTGGAAGTCAATGTGGCTGAGCCCATGCATAACCTTCATTCCTGCCAGCATGGCCACTTTGTTCATGGGCCCATTGGGTGATGACAGGGGTGGCTGGAGAAAGTGGCTGAGTGGTGTCCACAGAAAAGGTCATCCTATCCACTTGATTAGAAAAGTCTTCCTCTCCTGAGGTCACTCACTGGTGAGCACTCACATGGGATACAAATATGTTCAGTTTTCAATCACTCACAGAGGTTCATTCACATACCTCTTTCCCAAATTTCTTTGTCACCAATTTTTCAATCATGCTTCTTTCAAGACCCTGACCATCCAGACAAACCACTGGCTACAGCCCGTGAATCAGTACGTAATCGCACCTCTGGCCATTTCTCCTTCCATGCAAAGTGCACAACCAGGTGCACTGCTTGAAGTTCTGCCCATGTGGAAGAGTTCCCTTCACGACTGTCCTTCAGGGATGTCCTAGAAAAGGGTTGTAGTGCTGCAGCTGTCCTCTTTTGGGTGGTGCCTCCACATCGTGCAGAACCATCTGTGAACCACACCCTAATCTTCTCTTCTTTTGTCAACTGATCATAGGGAACACCCCATGAGGCCATAGGTGCAGGCTGGGGGAGATAAGGCAGGGTGGCAGGAGCGGAGACCATGGGCATTTGAGCCACTTCCTCATGTAACTTACTTGAGCCTTCAGGACCTGCTCGAGCCCAATCACCTATATATCACTTCCATTTGATGATGGAATGCTGCTGTGCATGACCCACTTTATGGCTCAATGGGTCAGAAAGCACCCAGTTCATAATAGGCAGTTCAGGCCACATGGTGACTTGATGACCCATAGTCCAACATTCAGTTTCCACCAAAGCCCAGTAACAGGCCAAGAGCTGTCTCTCAAAAGGAGAGTAGTATCTGCAGAAGATGGCAGGGTCTTGCTTCAAAATCCTGGAGGCTTCTGCTGTGATTCACCTATGAGGGCCTGCCAAAAGCTCCAAACAGCATCCTTATCTGACACTGACACCTCAAGCACCATTTAATCTGTTGGGTCATATGGCCCAAGTGGCAGAGCAGTTTGCACAGCAGCCTGGACTGTTACAGAGCCATCTCCTGTTTTGTACCTTACTCAAAACTAACAGCCATTCATGTCACTTGTTAAATGGGCCAGAGTAACACACCCAAATGAGGAATGTGTTGCCTCAAAAATCCAAATAGGCTGACTAGGCATTGTGCCTCTTTCTTGATTATAGGAGGGGCCAAATGCAGCAACTTATCCTTCACCTTAGAAGGAATATCGACAGGCTCCACACCATTGGGCCCCTGGAAGTTTTACTGAGGTAGAAGGTCCTTGAATTGTAGTCAGATTTATTTCACATCCTCTGGCATAAACCATTAAGTCCAGTGTGTTTGCTACTTCTTGCTCACTGGATCCAATCAGCGTAATGTCATCAGTGTAATGGACCAGCGTGATATCTTGTGGAAGTGAAAAGAGATCAAGGTCTCTCCGAATAAGATTATGACAAAAAGCCAGAGAGTTGATATACCCCTGAGGTAGGACAGTAAAGGTCTATTTCTGGCTTTGCCAACTGAAGGCAAATTGCTTCTGGTGGGCCTTATGGACAGAAATGGAGAAAAACATATTTTCCAAGTCAATGGCTGCATACCAGGTACTAGGAGGTGTGTTAATTTGCTCAAGCAATGAAATCACATCTGGTACAGGAGCTGCAACTGGAGTCACCACTTGGTTAAGCTTATGATAATCCACTGTAATTGTCCAAGATCCATCTTTCTTCTGCACAGGCCAAATGGGAGAGTTGAATGGGGATGTGGTGGGAATCACTACCCCTGTGTCTTTCAAGTCCTTGACAGTGGGACTAATCTCCACAATCCCTCCAGGGATGAGATATTGTTTTTGATTTACCATTTTTCTAGATAGGGGCAGCTCTAATGGCTTCCATTTGGCCTTTCCCGCTGTAACAGCCCTCACCTCACCAGTCAGGGAGCCAATGTCGGGGTTCTGCCAGTTTCTAAGTGTGTCCATGCCAATTATGCATGCTGGCACTAAGGAAATGACCACAGGATGACTCCGGGGACGCGCTGGACCCACTATAAGTCAGATATGAGCTAAAACTCCATTAAGTACATGACCTCCATAAGGCCCTACTTTTACTGGAGGACTGCAAGGGCATTTTGGGTCCCTGGGAATCAACGTCAGCTTAGAGCCAGTGTCCAGTAGTTCCCAAAATGTCTGATTATTTCCCTTTACCCATTGCACGGTTACCCTGGTAAAAGGCTGGAGGTCTTCTTGGGAAAGGATGGGAGAAAGATTTACTGCATAAATTGTCAGTAATGTAGTGGGGTCTTTCCTCAAGGGGGCCCAGCC